>NC_000001.11:57281107-57432622 GCF_000001405.40 Homo sapiens
TGCATACCTACACTTTTCAACACTGTCCTTAGTGGCAGAACTAAAGTGGCTGAAAAAACAGACACAGTCCCTGTCCTCACAGATCTCCCAGCCTAGTGAGTGATAAAGAGAATAAACCTTATTTAAATAATGGAGAAAATGCAAAGTGGTTGAGAGCACACAGCATGGTCATGACCCACAACTGGGGGGCATGTGGGTGGGTTGCAGTGGGTCACCAAAGCATTTCTGGAGAAAAGTAATCTTTAACTTGAGACTAAAGAATACATGGAGTTAGCTTTGAAACAAATACAGAAAAAATGTATTCCCAGGAGAAGAAAAAACATGTACAAAACCCCACGTGTAAAAAATCAACATGGTAGGGTCAGGGAACTGCAATTGATTCAGTGGGACCACTCGGTGACGTATGATTGGCAAGAGTGGTGAGGAATGCGCCTGGACAGATAAGAAGGGGTCAGACCAGACAGCACCTCTCTGATGCCATGATAAGCAGTGTGGACTTTTTCCTGAGGGCAGGAGGAGCCACTCACTGAAGGGTTTTATGCAGGAGTGTGATCTGATTAAATCTCCGCATTAGTGAGCAGTGCTGAGAATGGCTTGGAGATGGACAGCAGTGAAAACCTGAAAACCATTTAGGAGGGTGCTAGGATGATCCAGATGAGAGATGAAGGTAGCCTGAACTACCTTCGGGGACGGGGGCCAGTGGGGAAGAAGGAATGAATGGATTTGAAAGATATGTAGAAGCTCACATGAATTGATAATCAGTGATTAATTAATTGAGGATGTTAGGAAACTCACAATGTTAACCAAAAGGTGACTGTAATCCTAGCACTTTGGGAGGCTGAGGCAGGCCGATTAGCTGAGGTCAGAAGTTCAAGACCAGCCTGGCCAACATGGCGAAACCCCATCTCTACTAAAAATATAAAAAATTAGCTGGGTGCAGTGACATGCACCTGTAATCCCAGCTACTCAGGAGGCTAAGGCAGGAGAATCGCTTGAACCTGGGAGGCAGACATTGCAGTGAGCTGAGATCACACCACTGCACTCCAGCCTGGGTGACAGAGCAAGCCTTCTTCTCAAAAAAAAAAAAAAAAAAAAAAAAAAAAAACAGGTGACTGAGTTTTGAAGGATGAACAGGAGTCGCCAAGAGCAAGTGCATAGGGTAAGAGAGCTATCCAAGGTGAAATCGCAGTCTGCACAAAAGCCACAGAGGTGAGACCTGGGACCTGAAGCTTAGTGTGGCTTAGGGTGGGAGCAAGCGGAGTGACAGAAAAGGAGATGGGAACCACATTTCAAAGGGCTTGATGTATTGTCCTGTGGTGTATGCTGCCAGGGTTACAGTACAAGTTCAAGGAGGAAAAGAGCTATGTAGGTGAGTTTGGAGAAAGCCTGACTTCTAGCAAGGGAACCAGTTAGAACAAGGTGCTGAACTAAGTCACCAATTAAACCTGAAACAGTTTATCTTCAGTGAATGACCACATCGAGTGAAGTGTCCTGTAATAAATTCATGACCGTGTGACCACAGAGAATACAGAAGTCTCTTTTCACCACAGCACATCATATGATCAGTCTTACCATAAAGAAGTAAACTGCTTGGCCCCAAAACATTACTCTCTGCCTCCAAACCCTTTGGCCCAAGAGCTCTACTGATCAAGTTCAGAAAAATTTATCTTTTCTTATAATTAAATCCTTGGTTTTGAATTTCTAAAGCTTACAAATCACAGAGTTCATATAGAATGATTAGCTCACCAAAACCCTGCCAAGACAGAACAGCACCATAAATTTACATGATGTAGCTAATCAGTTTCTATGCTCCCATCTCCCCAGAAGAGTATAGCCCCTATAATTTTTTTCACATTCTCCAACTCTCCAGCATCAAGCCACAGGGCAAACCCACAGAATACATTCAGGGAAGATAGTACAGACTTCAGCACTGCTAAGACCTAGTGTATGGCAACTCAGACAGACAAGCCCCATGACCTGGGGCAAGTCTCTTGACCTCTGCAAACATTATTTTCTTATGTATTCAATGGGATGATGTAAGAGTTAGGCTTATTAGGGAAAATTTGTCTAAAATGGCTCATATGCAGGAAGCATACATGATGGCTATTAGTAAATCTTTGTAGCTTGACAACATGGTCCATTTTCCTTTGTACTTCTTATTCATTCCCTCAGTTATTCTTGGAGCAAGTATCCATTTGAAGAGGGACAAGTGTCTTTTTCTTACCAACTACCCCATATTCCTCTAGAGAAAAGGGTACCTTCTACCTCTCTATATTTCCTATACCACTAGAGATGTGCTGCCTCTCAGACATGGTGGGAGTTGGGGGCCACAGAGGAAAGGAATATTTCTTAATCTTGATTCTAGGTATAGAGTTTCAATGCTAGGTTTTTTATACTTGTGAACTCATGGAATCCTCACTGCAACACTCTAAGATACGAACTACTATTATTTCCATTTTACAGATGAAGAAGTTGAGGCCCAGAAAGATTAGGTAGCCAGCCCAAGATAGGCAAGTAGAAAATGTGCTGAGCCTTGACTCCAACTTCAGTTTATCTAATTCTAAAACATGGGCTCTTTTCAGAAGTCTTCATTGTAAGGAAGAGGAAGCAAACACCCTGAGATGTTAATGAGGTGAATCCTAAGAACATAAGTTGTTTGGGATCTACTGAGTGGAAGGAGCTCCAGCCAGGGAGCCATTCCTGGGTTGCAACCCTGGCTCTGCCATTGCCCAGGGGAGTGACCACTGACAAATCATTTTCCTCTTGAGACCTCACCTGTGACAACCAGGCTGTGGCCTGCCACCAAACATTAACTTCTTATAACCTTTTATATATGTCAACTTCCAGAGAAGTTGTATATTCCAGAGAGGTTATTCACGTTTTAATGTATACAGACTTTCAGAGTATTGTGTTACTTATGTTTATTAAAATAAAAATGTACTTGCTTTTAGTCAGGAAGGCAATGAAAAGAGTTTTAATGAGAATCATCCTCATTATGATAAACATGGAATATTTTAATGAATAAAAATAAACTTGGAGTCAAAGTAAACCTTATGCATTTTATGAACAGTAATAGGTTGGGAATGAATAAAAGCAGCAAAGTAGAAACACAATATTTTTTCAGGGAAAGACGAGACATAAATATCAGAAGGCCCCCTCCCCTGCGCCACCCTCCCAGCTCACAGTTCTTTAACTACAGCGTGGATGACTAGAGTCAGAATCTCCTTCTAAGGCATTTCTCTGTTCTGCAGAAGACCAAGCATAGGCTGGGCTCATGCTGGAGCTGGATAAATGTTTGTGGACAAAAGAACTAATTAATTAATGATGCCCCGTCCTACATTTCAAAATTGGGCAAGCAAATATTATCTCTACATCCATTTGGTGGCTGAGAAAAGTGAAGCTCAAAAAGCAGAGGTGACTTGTCTGAAGTTAGACCATGAGAGAGTGGGGGGCTTAAAGTATGAACCCAAATACCCAGTATCTTGATTGACCCCAGGCTGCCTCCTCTGCAGGACAAGAGCAGCATATAGAAGCAATGATAAATAAGCCTGATAAAAAGATTGTTTTCTTAAAAGATCATTCTCTCAGGATCCTGATGACCTAATGAGATAATCAATATGATGGCAATTTATAAGCTCCTATGAGGTAAGCCAATGTTAGCGGAAGTTACTTCCCAGGGCTAATGACCAGTTGAGCAGTCATGACCCTGAGTGTGACATTACTGAAACCATTCTTTAACCCAAACTGACTAGAATTTTTCAAGAAACCTCCAAAAGTTAGCACAGCTGCGAGTTACAGAAGGTTCACACTCGGTTTGATGTGACTTCAAACCTGAGGCATCTGCCCTGTGATCACTGACTTCTGAATCCCATTAAAGCCTTGATTCTTGGAGCCAAAATTCTCCTGGGAGAAAATATGAAGGCAGCTTTTTGTCACTGTCATTGTGGTTAATTGATGATCCCTGGGTATAGCACTAATATGAAATATAAGGGAAGTAAAAAAGTTTCACTATTTCCAGGTGTTTCTAGAAAATAAGGAGGTGATGGTGAACTGTGATTTCAGAAAGAAGAGGACAGAGCACTAACACACTGACTAAGCCAGACTACATTGCAGACCCCAAGCTAGCTCTTTACTCACAGTATCTCCCTCACCTTTCTTTCTTTCTTTTTTTCTTTTTGAGTTTTGAGTTTTGCTCTTTTTGCCCAGGCTGGAGTGCAATGGCACAATCTCAGCTCACTGCAACCTCTGCCTCCCAGGTTCAAGTGATCCTCCTGCCTCAGCCTCCCAAGTAGCTGGGATTACAGGCGAGTGCCACCACACCCTATTTTTGTATTTTTGTATTTTTAGTAGAGACAGGGTTTCACCATGTTGGCCAGGTTGGTCTCGAACACCTGACCTCAGGTGATCTGCCCACCTCAGCCTCCTAAAGTGCTGGGATTACAGGCATGAGCACCACACCCAGCCCCCTCACCTTTCTAATGACAAGTGGAAATATTCACACACACATAAAAATACACAAACCCCTCCCTTTAAAGATAAGTGAAACCAGGCTCAAGGAGGCTAATTAACCTGTCTCTGGTTACACAGCACATAAAGAGAAGAGTTAGAACTAAAAACCAGGTCTGCTGTGCTCCAAAGTCAGTGCTCTTTCCACTACACTAAGCTGCCAGATGGCACTGACTGGAAGACTCCAGGCACTGCCCCCAGAAATATCTATCTGTTCATCATGGGACACGTTCCTCTACCATGATCTTCCACTGAGTGCCCTAATACGGAGATTACAAATAACAAGAGTAGTGTCAACTGATTGTCCTCCTTTGATGGCAGGTAACGAACCTAAAAATATACATTCTTTTCCTCAGGTCTTCCATCAAATTCCACTTCTGGAATGGGCACCATTTGACAAGCTGTATGTGCAGTGACACAATCCAATAAAAATAAAATGAAAAAAACAACTTTATTTTTCACTACTTACATCCCTCATTTGAATTGTGAATACTCTAGTTACATTTCATAAATCGCCTGCCTAGAAACTCATTTTGTGATGAAATATGCCCCTATGTGACTTGTATTTGAAACCGTCTGGCTTGCTTTCAACAGCCTGGGTTAAAGAACTAGGGTGATAGATTTGTGAGGAACTCTAAAGGGCCTTTATGCCACTCTTTCTCACAATAGATGACCCAAATTGTCAGGTATTCTTTTTTCAGGAGTTAAAATATCTGCCCCAGGAGTCATCTAAATCTTAATAAGAGGGGGAAAAAAAACACTTCTATTTTGTAATATCAGGTAATAATATAGGAAACACACTAATGTCAAATAACAAAATAGGACATGAAACTGTATGAAGAGTATGATGTCAACTACATATTATCCTGGAAGGCCAGTTTAAGGATGTAACTTCAGTTGTTAATAGTAGTTATTTTTGTTTTACGGAATTATGCATGGTTACTTTGTCCTTTCTAATTTCAGCAATAAGCATATATAGCTTTTAAAAAGTTAAATAATTGTAAAGAAAGTTAATATTTTCCAGAAATAGTCCTCAATATTATTCAGCATTTCATTCCTACCAAAAATCATTATATGAGGATATAACATTAACTGATAAAAATCATTATATGAGAATATAACATTAACTAATACCAGACACAAGGTTTGTCCCAGAAAAGAAGTTATACACCAATCTTGCTGATAAATATAGATACAAAAACCATTCCTTAACCTAACGAATCAAACCCACCAGGGTGTAGAAAATAATAGCATTACAACCAAGTAAGATTTACCCCAGAAATGAATATTTAAAAATCTATCAGTTAAATCTGCCACAGTATAAATTATAAGAGGAAAAATATGTATAATCATTGAAATAAATACAGAAAAAGCCTATGATAAAATTCAACATGCAAATTTAGAATTTAAAAACACTTCCTAGAAAATAATACATAAAGGGGAACTAACAAGGTATGTTTTGTTTTGTTTTGTTTTGTGACAAGGTCTGGCTCTATTGCACAGGCTGGAGTGCAGTGGTGTGATTTTGGCACACTGCAAACTCCAATTCATGGGCTCAAGCCATCCTCCCAACTCAGCCTCCTGAGTAGCTGGGACTACTGGCATGCGCCGCCATGCCTGGCCATTCTTTGCATTTTTTTTTGTAAAGATGGGGTTTCACCATGTTGCCCAGGCTGGTCTCAAACTCATAAGTTCAAGCGATCCACCCACCTTAGCCTCCCAAAGAGCTGAGACTATAGGCATGAGCCACCATGCCCAGCCAGAAAACTATCTTTAGTAAAAACTTAAACATAACTTAAATGTAAGCTAGAAGCAATCAGGAACGAGATAAGGACATTTATTATCACTAAATATTATAATGACAGATCCAGCCAATTAGAGAGAAAAAGAAGTAAGTACTTAAAGATTGATGAGAAACTTATTTGCAGGTTATATGCTGTCTCCATAGAAAATCCAAGCATAGTTGGAGAAAGTATTAGTAATAAAAGAGCATAACGACATGGTTATATTCAAAATTCAATATCAGTATATAAACTGTTTATTCCTTTTAAAGTTGTATTAATTTTGTCCAAGTTAGCAAATTTGTTTAATGAAATACTATTACATCATCAAAACTGAAGAACAAGAAATGAATTAATGCTGTTACCAGCACGTTTTCTCTCTCTTTTATTTATTTATTTATTTATTTATTTATTTATTTGAGACGGAGTCTCATTTGGTCACCCAGGCTGGAGGGCAATGAAGCCATCTTGGCTCACCGTAACCTCTGCCTCCCAGGTTCAAGCGATTCTCCTGCCTCAGCCTCCCGAGTAGCTGGGATTACAGGTGCGTGCCACCATGCCTGACTAATTTTTGTATTTTTAGTAGAGACGGGGTTTCACTGTGTTGGCCAGGCTGGTCTCGAATTCCTGACTTCAAGTGTTCTGCCTGCCTCAGCCTCCGAAAGTGCAGGGATTACAGGCGTGAGCCACTACGCCCAGCCCTTCTCTCTCATTTTAATATACATGTGCCTTGGCCCAGACAAATGTATAGAGAATAATAATTGTTTATCACTGTTTCACAATTATAAACAATTGCAAAATATTGTTCTGGGACAAATTAGCTATATACTTTTCAAGAGCCCCTTGGGTATAAAACAGAATAAGCAAAAATATCTATGCGATGGTGATGATGATGATGATGATACAGATGAAGAGGATGGGGGATGGGGGAGGAGGAAAAGAAGGAGATGTGGTGTGTTATGCATATCTGTGTTTCACCAAAATCTATATGTTAAAGCCCTGAACCCCAGTGGCATGGTGTTTGGAAATGGGGCCTTTGGAAGGTAATTATGGTTAGATACCATTGTGAGTGTGGGGCTCTTGTGATGGGAAAGAAGAGAAGGAAAGAGTTTGGTCTTCCTCTACCACGTGAGGACATGGTGAGAAGATGACCATCTATGAGCCAGGAAGAGAGCCCTCACCAGGAACCAAATTGGCTGGCACTTTGATCTTAGACTTTCTAGCCTCCAGATCTGTGAGAAACATGTTTCTGTTGTTTAAGCTGTCAAGTCTATGGTATTTTCTTGTGGCAGCTCAAGCTAATTAAGACAAGATGAATGATGAAGGAAGAGAAAAAGAGAAAAGAGTGGAGAGGAGGGAAATGGAGAAAGATGACAGGGAAGGGAGGGGAAGAGAAGGAGAAAAGGAAAAGGGAGGAAAAAGAGGAAGAAGATCACAGCTAACCTTTGTTAAGCATTTAATACATGCCAAGTAATAAGTATTTTATTTGCCTTATTTTCATTAATCTTCATAGTGAGCCTTTGAAGTCTGTAATATTATATACCCATTTTATAAGAGAGGAAAATGAGGATCAGGTTAAATACTTTCAAAGGTCACATTGTGAGAAAGTGGTAAAGCCAGAATTTGAATCCAGCTCTGCCTACCCAAATCCCATGATATTAGCCAGTCCATGGAGGACACTCCTCACATATGTATTATGTTGATTTCAGAGTTTTTTTAGGACATGAAGATGAGGAGGTTCAAAAAGGGTCACCTTCATGCTCTCATCCCAAATCCCCAACTGAGCCAATGTCCTGAAAACCTGAATCCTCTCTGCAGAATACTTCTGGTTTTGCATGTTAAAATGAAGAATGAAAAAATATGCACTAAGATAACATTTTTAATGCATTAAGCATTCAAGAGTGCAGGTTTAGTGGAAAGGTTAAATTTAAGGCAAAAATATAACTTGTCAGTTTCCACTGAAAAAGCATTTGAATTCTAGTACATACTGGGCTCTGCGACCTCTTTTTTCTTTTTCCACACAGCAGTCTCCCAAGACATGTTCTTTCACCCACTTACTTTCTTTCTATTATTCTTAGACCATGATGCATAGAAAACAAGGTTTACATTAATTTTTAGGGAACAAAATAGACTGCCTCCAAAGTATTTGTGTTTCAAATAAACATCAAAAGCAAAATTTATAGTCCTTCCTGGGCTTCTGGCTGTCAAAGAGCTGCATATGTATTACAGTTATGTCCCTTACTTCATATAGAGTGTCAGACAAATGCCATCACAAAACATAACTGGGCAGGCACAACGATGTCTCAAACAAATCACTGCCTATACAAAGAAGTCAAGGGCATCCCAGTTTGCAAGCCCACATTGACAGATTTCAAGACCTGAGAGAGAGCTCTGTCAATCCTCTCCCATGCAGCTGAGAAAACAAGGGAGAGAGAGCAGAAACTACAGGGAGAAAACACACACACACAGAGAGAAAGAAGTTGCTCATATTTAATTGGCAGGGGTGAAGCTTACTGAAAAACATGGTCCTAAAGCCATGGGGCTAAATTCTCCAGAAAACACGAAAAGTGACAGAATTACTTTATCATCACACTATGCCTGCAAATCTTCATTGCCAGATATCTCTGGCTCCTCTCTGCCAAGCACTTTCTAAGTGCTGAGACTTAAAATGTGAACGAAACATCTAGCTCCAAAGGAGTTTATGCAGGACATTTTTAATAAAGCAAAACACTAACCAAGTGCTAATGAAACAAAACAAATAAAAACATTTACATCAATTTTGGGAGTAAGAAAAGGCTCCCCCAGGAGGCTCCCCTAAACTCAAACCTAGTGAATAAGCAGGAGTCAGTTCAGGAAAAAAAAAAAAATGAAGAGCAACAGAAAAGGATTTCGGGCTGGATTAAGAGTCCAGTGGTTCTTAAAGTAGGGTCTCTGGACCAGCAAGACTGGCATCACCTGGGAACCTGTTTTAAATGCAGAGTCTTGGGTCCTACCCTAGATTTACTGAATCTGACACTTTGAGATGAGACTCAGAAATGAAGGCTTTATCAAGCCCTCCCAGTGATTCGGGTCCAGCCGGAGTTTGACAACCACTGGTACAGGCGATGATGAACTACAGAATATCTGGAGGGTAAACAGGGATGGGGAAGGGGGGTGGTTAGGCAGAGATGTTGCTGGAGGGATGCATAGAAGGCATATGCAGAAAAACTTTGTATATTATGAGAAAAGTTTTGGATCTTATCTGGAGAATAATGAAGAGCCATTACATTATTATATTATGAATACGAAACACACAAAATTACTATTTAAAAATATATGTGATCATAAAGATACTCCTTTATATCATTCCAGATATTTAAAAACTCATTCCTGTGCAGAAAAGTTTTGGATTTTATCTGGAGAATAATGATGAACCATTACATTATTATATTATTAACACAAAACACACAAAATAACTATTTAAAAATATATGCAATCATAAAGATATTTCTTTATATCATTCCAGAGATCTAAAAACTCATTCCTGTGCAGAAAAGTAGCCATTAAAAAAAGGTCAAATTCAGCCCTACCTTTCTTTCTGGAGTCTTTCTTGGCGCTGGTTTTCACAGCTACTTGAAGTTCTGTCTCAGTTGACATCCTACTTAATCCTTAGTCCACTTCACACAGATCCCGGGCCTCGGCCAGGCTCATTGAGGACTCTTCTCCAAGAGAAAGACTCCTCCCTTCAGAAATGACACTCTGAGCTGCACATTTCATTCACTCTTTTTGAGTGCTGCAAATCAAGGCAAGAGAACATTCAGAATCATCACTGTTATGAAGTTAAACAGAAATTTATAAAAAGTGAATTGGCAAACATATACAAACAAAATCTTGGTCTTTATGCAAAAACTGCTCCCATGGTTTCATGAAGGCATTGATAGGGTTTATACAGCAAAGGGAATGAGAGGCTTAGCGGCAAAACTGCTTCTCAAACTAGGTAACTCAAAATAGATCTTTAAAAGTCTAGATTTATAAGAGGGACAAAACCCAACTCTGTTTTCTATGTTTCTTATTTTCAAGCACTAGATCCCAACCAGAATATATAGCAAAGGTATGTCCTGACCAGCCCCATGGAGACATTTCCAATAAGAGAGCACCCATCCATCAGCCAAGCTTGATCAGCACCTTGGCAGCAAAAGCAGATCATATGGAAGTAACCTGTGGTCTGTCCCTCACTGGCAGGCATCAGAGGGGGCATGGAGTTGACATACAAATGGGCTCCAAGGATAAGGTGACAAATGGGGCCAAGAAACATTCCAGCAAGCCAATTTTTATGTCAGATTTTCCTCCAGCTATAAGAGCAGACAAGCATTTAATGTGCAGAGAAAAAGAAAAGAAACAGGCAGACACAGATTTCATTCATTCATTCTCTAATAAATGTGCATTGAATAATACCAGGTGCTATTAAACTCAGACACCGTGCTAGGAACAGAATAATGATAATACAACCACTTCACTTACAGGTAATATTTACTATATACCATGCCCTTAGCTACTGCTTCACATATAGTGTCTCACTCGATCTCATTTAAATTAAACAAATATACAGTATTCTCTTTGATAATAGTCCTTTCTTGTGACTATCTGATAGTTATATCTGAGAGTTCTATTAAAAAGTAAACATTTCACCAATTTCCACTTTTGAAAAATATTAAGAAAAAGCTATTAGAAATGGATCTTCGAATTGTGCAGCCAATTCTTAGTTCATCCCACAGATGTAGAATGGTTTAATAGAAAACGACTGACCTCAAATGCCAGTTTCAGTTCAAAAAGAATAATGACCCCAACCTCTTAATCATGACAATCTAGTTAATCTTAACCAGAAAGTCTAATATAAAAGCCACATAAAATTATAGTAAAGCTTCAATATGAGGAAATTCCCACCTTAATCCAAAGGTATCTGTTTTGTTTTATTTATATATAAGCTACCTATTTTTTAAAAAGGAAATGGCCCAAATGAAAGTACTTGATCTGGTGAATCTAAGGCTACAACTAAGAAAAACAGAAAGTTATCTTTGTAAAACAGGGTCCATGAAACCATACACAGAAAATGAGAATTTATCCTGTCACTTTTATACCATCTATCTATACCTTGTCACCAGCACCCACACCCTTTCCAGACCCTCGTCTCTAAGACAACGTTCAATGGGAGATGGCAGAGTCACAAAATTTGGTCATGTATAAACATAATAAAATTTATTAATAATATTTACCATTTCATTGCAGCAAATATTTAGTAAGAATCTGCTATGGGCCAGATACAAATACTAGCTCATTCATGTTAACAGACATTTACCATGTAACCATGCTGGCCAAGAGTACATAGTCAAGGGTTGTTTCCTGTCCTCCAAGAAGCTCAGTCTAACAGAGGTATCAGTCATGTAAGGGACGGCAACACACACATGTGAGCAAAACTAAAACAGGTATAAATACCACGCACACTGGGGCGGAAAGATGCAAGTATTCATCTTTGCTTGGAAGGGTTAATAAAGCTTCAAAGAGGATAAGCCCTACTCTGTGAGATGTTGAAAAGCTATGTTTCTGTCAAAAGGACGATAAGGGAAAGGACCACCAGCTTCTCAATAATTGTATGTAGAATGAATGAATGAATGAATGAGTGGTTGTCTCAGGCAGAAAGATCAGCATGTGTAAAAGCAAGGAGGGGTGAAATCAACAACCAAACCAGTAAAAGGAGGCACGACTCTAGCAGGGAGGTGATGCACTTCCCCATCTTCCCAGTTTTTCCTTGTGCTGCTATCTTTCTATGGAATCTCTTGTCTCAAGTCTGCCTGGACATTCTATTGAATCCTCAAGGTTCAGTTCAAAGAGACATCACAGGCAGAAAGATGTTCTGATCTCTGTAGCAAAATAGACTCTTTCCCAACTTATTTTATGATTTGATTTTTGGACAACTTCAGTTCCAGCCCCTTACAAGCCACATGATTTGAGGAAGTTACTCAACCTTGTCTTTGCCTCAGTTTCTTCATCTGTACAATGGGGATAATAGTGCCCACTGGGGGAGCTGTTGTGGCAATTAAGTATGATCACACACGTAATGTGATTGGAAGAGTGTCTGGCATGCCTCCTGGTAAGCATTTAATAAATATTAGGCACATAAATTCCTGTGCCACTTGCTCAAGGCCACCTGGCCGGTATGTGACCGAAAGTCTGTATTATCTCCCCTTTACAAAGGAGGAAATTGATACAAGTTAATTTTGCTGTCTCAGGATGAATTGTAGGAAATGGTATCATGTTGGTCTTGGACACAGTAGGTACCTAATCTATAAATTCAGAAAGTAGCTGAAATATATGGATTTTACACATTTTCAAGAATTTTTTAAAATCAATTGTATAAAACTGGATTGGATTTGGGCCATTTTCTCTTCTTCAACCTTATAAATCACAATATAGCATCTCTCCTTATTTCTATCTTCAAAGATGTTTGTTCAACAAAATATGATTATGTTCAAGTGTTACAAGCATTACTTGTGAATTTCTGAAGTACATCCCTACATCAATAATGAAAGGAAACCACCATCATTCTGAATAAAAACTTAAATAAGGAAGCTACAGTACTGTGAGAATGTACCACAGTGTGGACCCTGGCATCCCCTTTAATTTTCCAAAAGGCAGAGGTTGAGCAAATGCTGTGAAGTAACTCCAAATTATTTAGGAAATTCGCTTCTTTGTAATTAAGGAGATTAAAGTCCTCCAGGGCCAGAAACCATGTGACAACTCAAATCATTTTCCCCAGTAAAGGCTGTGAAATCCTATCAGTTAAATTCAGGCTTGCCTGGAATTTTGAAATGCTTCAATAATATTTCTTTGCTCCACACAATCTGCAGTAATTTAATATTCCTGAAGTGTGTCAGGTTTTTTATAATGAGCTCTTCAAATCTAAATGTGAATTATGTAACATTCCACTACAGACATTCTGTCTAGTGAACTGCTTCTAAAATGTAAAATTTCATGTTTATTGATGGGGTGGGGGCCAAAAACACTAAACCACAAAGCAGAGAAAACAGATATGCCTTTTTTTTTTAAACAAAGCATGAAGGTTTCAGCAGCTACAACAGAACAAACACACACTAAACCCATACTATAACACACATTTGTGTTCTTTCTTTCCCCCTTTTCTCATATAATCCTACAATAAAACAGCTATTATTTATTGAGGGCCCATTATTTGCCAAGTATTATGCTATGAGCTTTTCTGGCATTATTTGATACAATTCATTCAACTATTTTAAGAATCCAATATAATTATCTACATGAAACAAACGAGGAAACTGAGGCACAAGCCAGCTTAGGCGCTTGTCCAAAGCCACATAGCTAGTAAATAGCACAGCACAAGGCAAGTTACAAGACACTCGTCTCTCCAACTTCACTCAAAGCCCTCCCAGATTTCCATTAGTGGGTGAATGGAAAAACAAAATATTGGTGCAATGGAATATTACTCAATTGTATAAAGGAAATGTAGTACTGATACACACTGCAACGTGGATGAACCCTGAAAACAGCAAGGCAAGTAAGTTAGACAAAATATGTTGCATACTGTATGATTTCACTTATATGAAATATCCTAAATAGACAAATCCCTGGAGATGGAATGCAGATCAGTGGTTGCCAGAGGCCAGGGGAGGGGCATAAGGTTGAGGAACTGCTTAATGGGTATGGGGTCTTCTTTGGAGTGATGAAAATATTTTGGAACCAGACAGAAGTGAGGGTTGCACAACATCATGACTATAATAAATACCACTTTAAAATGGTTAATTTTATGTCATGTGAATTTCACCAGAATTAGGAAAACAAAACCCCTCCCAACCTGATATGAGCCTTGTGTGATAACACTAACGCCACTGCAAATTTCAGTTTAAAAACATAATGTAGTGCTAAAAGACAGATGAAAATGTAGTTTTCCCAAAACCAAGACTTTGAGTTTGTGTGGCAGTAACTGCATGCATTAAAACTGTATGTCACAATTGGCATGTTTTATGATTCGATATCTTAGACTTAGCTTCATCCAAGGTATAAAGCACAGAAAACAGGACATTTATCAACAAGGCCCAAAGGTTTATAACAGTACAGACAAGAAGCCTCAGTTTCCTCATCAGTAAAATGGGAACACCACCACCAAGTATGTGAGATTTGGAAGATAAATGAGATTTGGGCATTAAAAAGCCTAGCTCAATCTATAGCATGCTACCTTTTATCTTTACAAAAAGATACACAGGATAAACAAACCAGATAACATGGAAGTTGTTTTTCATAGGGAGAACTGGGTGGTGATGTGACTGGGTGCCAGGGTAAAAGGGTTATGGCAGAGGGTGATACTCCTCAGAATACAGCTTTTTGCATAATTTCCACATTTGGAAGCATATTAATGTTCTACATATCTGAAGAAAATTAAATTAATAGGGATGGTAAGGGGGATCGTAGAACTAAAAGCAGACTGAAGCAAATCAATTCAATTTTATGTTAAATGGGCATCATAAGCACACTTGCTAAACAGGTGGAAGAGAAAAAACTTTATCAAATAACTTATAAACACAGAATTGGATGGCACACACCCAGTCTTGGGTAGAGTTGAAGCAAGAGCAGCAGCAAGCAAATTCTGAGGTCTTTTTAGCAGGCTTGTTTTCTGTAGTGTTATGAGCAAAGCAATTCTGAAACTATTTTCGATGTTCTATAGAATGGAGCAAAGGAGTAAATGCAGATATTGTTGGGAGCCAAGCTTCTCCTATGGGACAAGAGATGTTAAAATAGGGAAAGGAAAGCAGGAAAGAATGCTAAAGTGATAGACTGAAAATTGTAGGTTTCAAAGTAAACTCAGGATTTATAAAATATGCATGCATCTGTATATAAATGTATAGGTATGAATGTATATATGTGTTGATATGCAACTATTTCCTATCTCTGTCCATTAAGAGGGCCTAGGAGCAAAGATACTCTAGCAACAATGAGATAACTAATACTTAGATTTTGGTTTCTGTTATCATTTTTCAGCAAAAGAAACCAAGGTTTCTTGGGGGAAATGAATTATTTCAGAGCTGGCGCATGGCAGGTACAAAATGAGCCTGAAATATCTTGTTATTCCAGAAATTAAGTGCTCAAAACAAACAAAAAATGATGAGAGAATTTTATAAAGGATACAGAAGCCATCATGAAGAGTTCTCACCAGCCTAATTAGGAATGATTTAAATACCGATATAATTAAGGATGGTAATAAATAATAAACCATTGAAAAAATAGAAATCCACAAATCTATACTGATGACAGACAGACAAACAAATGGGGTAAGAATGGAAGGCTGTCTTGCTTATAGCAGAACAGGTGCTGACTGGTAAACACAAAGGGAGTGCTGGAGTTATCAAATCAACATTTTGCAGCCATCAGAGTAAAGACTGGTCAGGCAAGAATCATCAACAGATGCTAAGTCCGGGAAAAATTTTTGATAAGAAGCAGAATATTTGCAGGTCTTAAACTGTCTTCGCACTTATTGTTTATCAGTTCCAAGGGAAACTTTGTAATTATACAGTGGAGAAATTGGACAAAACGTTGTTAACAAAATTAACATCAACAAACAGGGGCAGATGGATAGCATGTGATACCCTGAGCAGAACATAACATCACTATGCAGTACTGTGTAGTGTTCTGGCCAGGAATCTAATCAGATTAGGCATTTAAGAAATCGGAAGGGGAGAGCTGTATTCACTGAAAATGTAATAAAAGACAAAGAGAAGCTGTGGAAATATTTTAGATTAAAAGAAATTAAGCCAAAATAACAATTAAATGCCATATCTATACAGGATATTGTACTGGAGAGAAAAGAAATGTTAGCCCCTCAAAATTATTGAGCCAGTTGATAAACTTGAATATGAATGGTAAGTTAGGTAAACATATTGCATTAATGGTAAATTTATTTAACTTGAAAACTTTCCTGTGATTATATAAAATAATATAGCTGTTTTTAGGAAACACACTAAATATTCAGGAGTAAAGGGCCAAGATATGTGCACCTTATATTCAGATGATTCAGAAAAAACACATATACATGTATACATGTATGTGTATGCATATATGTGTGAATATATATATATGTATATACGTACATACATAGAGAGAAAACACACAAATGATAAATCAAGTAAGATAAAATATCAGCAATGAGTGATACTAAGTAAAGGGCATTGGGTGTTTTTTGCTTATTCTTATGCTTATACTTCTTCCTGTAATTGTGAGATTATTTCCAAATTAAGAAAAGGGAAAACAAAGCCTAGCTCAAACTCTTAACACAAAGAAATATGTAACTAAGTCCATTCTGGCCTCACTTTTCTCCTAAGTTCAAACCCATTCCAGCTTCCTAGATGGCATACTTTCTAATTCCCAAGGCTAGCTGAGTTTAAAATTATTTTATGGCTGCCAGTTCTGATTCCACCTCCACCCCTGTAACTCCCCAGACTGCCAAACTTGGCAGAAGTCTATGGACCAAATTTGCACGGAACAGGGTCCTTTCTTCCTGAGCTCTAAGCTTCCTCTCTAGACTGTATTCCATGCCCACTCAGACTTTACATCCTCCTGCCCCCTGGACCACTGCAGGTTCCTTTAATTACTCAGCCTAAGTAGGCCTTTTGTAGATTATCTCCCTCTCCATTCCTGGGACTATGTCATTAACCTGTCAATCTTTTTTTTTTATTTTTATTTTTTAATGTCAAAGGCTATCTGATCTGACCATGGCAATTTGGAAAAGGCCTAAAATTCCCCCATGCTGCATATTTGATTTCTTTAGGGTCAAGACAATAGGAAAATGTAAGGCTTTGCAGGAACCCAATGGCAGCAGTTCTATAAAGCTGCTGTAGGTGTGAAAGGTACAAGTGCTATAGAAACTTTTGGCAGAATATTGAGAGACGCTGTATCTTTCTGCTAACAGAGGTCCACCATCATTGCAGCAGATGTACAATCATCATCTACTTTACCAAAACTTTCAAGAAAAATAACACGGTGATAGGACATATTCCTAGCTTTAAAACTTTGAAGCTCACAAAACTGATAGATTGACAGCCTTGGTATGGATCCAATCAAAGCTCTCTTGCCATAACTGTAACAAGAAAGGGGAGAAAACGAATCACAAATATGGGAGACATATCTTAGCCTAACAGCTCATCTTCACGATGTGGCATTGTTAGTTGTATTTACCCCACGTTATGAAAAAAAAACAGAATTTTAGGCAACTTACCAAAAGCCTTATAAAAGCCATTTTCCATAATAGGATAAACTAAATAAACAAGAAAGTTGGAGCAAAGAGACACAAAAAATTAGAAATGAAGATGAGGGCAGAAGCAAGAATAAGACATCAAAAACATTGATATGGCTGTAGAAGATAGGCTATATGTTTGGCTATGAGATTCCTAGAAGCCAAAGCAAAGAGAGAAAAGATCAGTTACAATTTCACAAAGTCTATAGAACTTTTTTTCCCTTTGGACCAGAAGTGGAAAAAGAAAACTGCCTATCAGTTTTCATGAAATTGACACCGTGGTATCACAAATGTCAACATAAGCAGTGTCTCTATAAAATTCTGAAAGAGAATATTCCACATCTCTTACTGTATGCTGAGATCATAAAACTAACACTGAGAGCATAATACTAGTAGTACCACTTTTAAATAGGGTCCAAACAATGTGGCCAAAATCCATTTAAGTTGTTTATGAACAAGGCATATTTTCTTTTTATTAACTAAATTGAAAGATAAATAAGTGGGATCTTGCTACACAGTATCTGATGGTCTAACTTTTCTAAGGTAAAATCTTGAATTAAACAAACTAATCTTTTTTATCAGTTTACTCATCTGTAAAATGGAACAATAATAGAATAATCTTATAGATTTATGTGAAAGTATTTTTGGAAAAATAAAATGCTATGTTCCAGAAGGCAGCATTCTTGTTATTCAGACATCAGTCAATCTTCGGCAAGGCAAAGAGGGAGGGAATACAATGTGTTTCTGTAATCAAACTCAAAGCTAACAAAAGCCAGAACCAGGTTTTAGCAACATTAAACGAATTTATTTGACAGCAACATGGCATACTCAGCAACATTTCATTTAACTAATGGATCACATAGTTTCATTAAGTATCTATAGCACCATGAAAATTCATTACATAAACTCCTAGGGTATGAGAAAAAAACAAGTGCATAAACCTAAAATAATTCCATTAGTGTTTTCAATACTTGGGACCCCAGTTACATCCAACCTTCTAAAATTCTCACCTCTAATTTTACAAAAACATATCTACCAGTAGTTGGCAGAATGTAAAGCAGCAAGCTGTCCAAGGGGCTGGGCTGGAAGCCTGCCTGACTCCGCCATTGACTGCCTAGGTAAATTTAGACCTTTAAGCTCTTTCATCAGCCTTGGCCTCAATTTCTTCATCTGTAAAATGGGAATACCTTTTTATCTCGCTGGGCTTACAGGAGACCAAAATGCACAGAGCTATATAAATTGTCATAGCTGCTTGCCTTGTGTTCAGCTCATACTCTTCTCCCACCTCCCCTTCTCTCCTCATCCTCTTTTTCTCTACCCTCTCATACAGCTGCGTGTCTGTCTCCCCGGCAGGCCTTAAACTGTCCCAACCCCGAGTGGGAATGTGCCCTATACACCTTTGCATCCACACCAGCCCCCTGCACAGAGCCTTCCATGTTGTATTGGCTGGCAACAAATATTTAAATAAGGAAACAAATTCACTGATTCATTGAACAAGTAGTTATTAAACACCTATTCTTTGATAGACCACTGTTCTAGATGCTCAGAAAGAAATAAAGATGATATAATTCCAACTGCAAGGAGCTCAAATTATTAGGGAGGGAAAAAGAGACAGTGATTGCATGGCATGCTAACAGTTGGTATGAGAGAAATCATAGGATTCTCAGGAATGCAGAGGATAGGCACTGCCTCAACCTGGAGATGCTACAGGGTGGAGCAAGGCAGAGTTAACAGGGGGGATGCAGACGGAAGACTTCCAAGAAGAGGAGATCCTTGAACTGAGTTCAGGAAGACAAGTAAATGTTAGTCACCTTAAGAAGAAAAGCTGTGGATGATAGCATGAAACAGAGAGAAGACGTAATCAATCCTGGGAACTCAAACAGCTCATCATGGCTGGGTAGCAACAAGAGGCAAGTCTGCAGAAGGAGAGATAGGCCAGAATGCAATGGGCCTGAATTCAGATCCTGCCAGTGAGGCGCTTGAAACGGATGCTGTAAACCCAGTGGTGTACAACCCAAGGAGGCCCGAAGAAAATCCACTGGGGTGGGGAGATCAAACTCTACAATGCGTAAGATTATTTTTAGCTACAAAAATAAATAAAAGTTTATTCATTTAATATGCAGATTAACAGTAGCACATGTATGTACCATATTCCAAAATGCATACATTGGTGAAGACCTCAAAAATTATTCATTGATTCATTGACTACTCACAGGTGACAGGGGCCACCACAGTGGGATAACAGGGGAGCAATTGATACAGTTTATGTTCTTACAAGATGGTGCTTGTCCAGGAATCACCCAGGGACCAAGGGCCAAGCAAAAGACTGCTGCATGAGGGGAGCAAATTTAAAAGCACATGTGCTTCCATTTTCTTTTCCAAAGAGGTCCTAGATAAATGAATCTTCAAAAAAAAAAAGGTAAAAAGCAAACATACCCAACTCTTTCAGAACACAGTCATTAAATCACAGGTTCTGTCAATCAAATCAGGTCAGCACACATTTCCTAAACACTGACTCGGTGTAAGCAGACCCTGTAAATGCTGGAGGTACAGAGGGAGATTAAACAAGGCCTGGCCACAGCTATAGCCTCCCAGGGCAGAGTCTGACCTCAGGTGCTCATCACATCTGCTCCCCAACACACGGATTCTAAAGGGGCACCTTCCTCATTGGCCTTTTTAGCCATGATACCATTCCTCATTTTAACCCTACTCCATACCAGCCAGGTGAGGGGAGGAAGGCTTACTGTGTTTATTTGCTTTTGGAGACTGAACGCCCTGTACTCATCCCCGTTTCCTCCACAGAGTGTTTGAGTAACACGAACTATTGCTATTCCCTAGGGTCTAGCAGAGAGAAAAGACAAGTATTTAACATGGGCCTCCCTGTGAAAGGGATTTTAAATAAACAAACGCCGCATTTGGCAGCTTCACCTGCTGATTTACCTAAAATATATACCGCCATTATTTATTCTCCCTTCCACAAGCTGCATTTCATTATCTTCAAAGTTGACAATCAGAAAGAGAACAGAACCGACACCTGTAAGTACCAAGCCTAGGTGGTGCAACAGATGACCCCAAGCTGCTCCACTTCACGAGTGCCCTGGGCAGGGACTCATCCTGAACCGTCTGCCTCTCAGTGACTGTCTGGGTCCCAGTGACCATCAATAGATTTCCCCTGTAAGAGCCTTGCCCGCTGGACCCACTCGAGGTCCCTTCTAATAGATGCCACCTTCTCCTTCTGGAGGGAAGAGAAAGACAGGTGGCAGGCTTCCTCTCATCACTGATAACCTATTTTTCTTCTCGCTCTCCTCAAACATCATATTTTTACCACCTTCCTTTTGACAAAAAGGGCTATCATCTTCCTTTAGCTTGCTAATGATTTGCTAGTCCAATCTCAATTACTGTAAAATGGATACATGGATGGCTCAAATTTTCTCCACAAAAGGATCTGTGCTTGACGGGAAGCAACCCAATTTCCACAATTATCTCCCTGACAAAAAAGCACACGCAACAGCAATAACCGTGTTTTCCTGAAGCCATAAATGAGAATGGATGCCCTGACAAAGGATGTCTTTTTGTTGTTGTTTCCGGATTTGTGAATGTATTTATTGGAACCATCTCACAAAAACGTAAAAATTCAATCACACTTGGAAAGTAATGAGCAAAGCAGCAACATGGAAAAGCCTCCTCACTGTTTCACCCAGCAAACCACTACAAACTCAAACTCCCCTGCACAGGAAGCCTTCCCTGACCACCTTCCTGCACTCACTCCTTACACACCACACCTCTACTTACAAGTAAGAGCACGGTGGGCAGCTCCCGAATGGGAGCTACAGCTGGAATCACCTGAGGAGCTGATGCCCATCCCTGGATTCTTATTTAATTGGTTTGAGGTGCAACATGGGCACTGGGATTTTTTTTTTTATTTTATGTTTTAGAGACAGAGTCTCACTCTGTTGCCCAGGATACAGTGCAGTGGTACAATCATACCTTACTGCAGCCTCCAACTCCTGGGTTCGAGGGATCCTCCCACCTCAACCTCCCAAGTAGCTGGAACTACAGGTGCATGATGCTGCACCCAGCTTGGCACAAGGAGATTTAAAAGCTTCCCAGGTGATTCTAAAATGCAGCCAAGTTTGGCAAACACAGGAATAAAGGTTAAGAGAACTTGGCATGACCCCTCCCACTACTTGGGTAGGGTTGGGCACGCTATTTAACTCCCCCAAGCCTGAATTTGTTCACTGCAAAATGCGATGACTGAATACATGCCACATCTAACTACAGTATTAAATGATGTAATCCACATAAAATGTTTATCTCACAGTGGTAAGTGCTGGTGGAAAGCAGAGAAATGCCCTTCCCCAAAGATGCTCAAGCCCTAATCACTGGAACCTGATGTAGACGACTGAGATAATGAAAACTGGGGCTTTTGAACTCCTGAGATTTAGATGACATTTGAGGTTTTGAACAGAAGAGACCAGAGAGATCCTGGGATGGGGGTTATATACTGCATGAAGGATGAAAGTTGATCTTTGGGTGGGAGGGCTGACAGTGGTAGACAGAATGGTGACCCCCACAGATGCCTCCTCCCTAGCTTCTGGAGCCTGTGAACATGTTGTCCGTCACATGGCAAAGGAGTTGTATGTGTTACTGCCCTGCTGCTTGCTCTGCCTTTCGCCCCAGTCCAGTCCCAGCTGGCTGGGCCTGGGACAGATCTCTCCCCAAGGACAATCTGCTGCCTGACCAGCAGTCACAGCTCAGCCTGGCAGAAAGAACTACATCCAAGTTGGATATATAAGAGGATATGCACAGTCTCTCTTTCAAGAATTTGAATTTGTCAGTTCAGACTCTATCCACTGGTAGAGAGACTAGAAGTGAAAAGATGAACAGGGAGAAGCCAGGAGGCAGCAAGGCCAAGACCCAGCAGAAGTTGTGAGTTAGCAGAAGTGAGCACTAGCAGAAGCCACTAGGTAGAAAAACAAACAAACAAAAAAAAACAGATAATTAGGAAGGGGAAAGAGAGAGATCATTTTCAGTAGAAGTAGAAACTGAAGGCACCCAATGGCAGGGAGCAAACAAAATCCTGTGCAGTGGGAACAACATGATACCTAATCCCAAGAGATACCCAGGATTCTTCCTGTTAGAAAGTCATACCCAGTGTTCACGAGGCCAGGCTCTACGGCTATTCCTAACTCCAGAAAAACTCCCCCCTGCCTTACTGCTACGCATGGCTTTACAATGTCATAGTCCTCCTTATTGTGGGGGACTGCAACAAACAGCCTGAAGCTCCTACTCTGATGCACGTAACTATACCTGTCATCGGAACCCTTAAATATATCACTGTTTGTATTAGTCCATTCTCGTATTGCTATAGAGAAATACCTGAGGCTCGGTAATTTATAAGAAAAGAGGTTTATCTGGCTCATGGTTCTGGGGAGGCTTCAGGGAGCTTTTACTCATAGCAGAAGGGAAGGTAAAGCAGGAGCAGGCACTTCACGTGGTGAAAACAGGAGCAGGAGAGAAGGTGGGGGAGGTGCCTCATACTTTTAAACAATCAAATATCCTGAGAACTCACTCACTATTGTGAAGACAGCATCGAGGGATGGCTCTAAACAATTCATGAGAAATCCACCTCCCCCCCACACCCTCCCCCGCTTCCAGTCACCTCCCACCAGGCCCCACCTCCAGTAGTGGAGATTACAGTTCAACATGAGATTTGGGCAGGGACACAGATCCAAACTATACCACTGTTATCTGGTGTCTGACAAAGAAAAGCCATGAGCATCACCGTCTCACGGACTTGCCCTGGGAATTCAAACTGTGGCTCCACCAAGTCCCAGATATGTGACCTTAGGCAAATCTCTTGAAGTCTTTGAGCCTCCCTTTCTACCTCTGTAAAGCAGGGAAAATGGTACCTTACCCATAAGCGTTGCTGAGTAGAATAAATAAGGTAATATATGCAAATTGCCTGGTACTAGAGAAGGTGTTCATTACATATTGTTTGCCTTCCCTTCCCTCTATTTCATTTGCATATACTTCTTTGGAATGGAAAGAAAGGTGTTTCTGATATTTATTTGCTATACCATATAACTATTGATTACGTAATCCATACTTCTCAAAATGAGTTAGGAAACAATTATTAATACCAAAAAATTATTTCTCCTATGATGAGAAATCTGATATGTTCACTTAGCCTGATCTTCAGGCTCTAGTTCGGCAAATCTCCCCAAACTCACAACTCAGGTCAGCATCCTTATGTGAAAAACAAGCTATAAGCAGACTGGGTTGGTCACAGACCCCAGAGCACACCTTGGTTATCCAATAACACACTTCCTCACCTATTCAAACTCAGCTCAGCTTTGGAGGTGCCAGCGGGAAACTGATGACACATTCACATTAAGATTATTTCTGAAGACTTAATAATATTTACACGTGAGTGGGCTGCATTGAAGAGAAACCCCAAAGGACAGTGCAGTGTCCCAGGGAGAGAAGAGCAGAACTGTTACCTCTTCTAGGCCTGAAGGAATGAGAGGAGGGAAAGGCTACCAGACCAGGAGGGAACCCTGTAGAGAAAATTCCTTAAAGGAGCAGTGACTTTCAGTCTAGGAAGCAGCAAACCCAAGGCCAGCTAGCAGGGAGAAAGAAGCTGAAAAGGGAAATCAAAAATACAGAGACTTTTCTCTCCTTTTTTCTCCTCAGCCTCCTGCTAGGACCCAGCACTGGCTAATCCCCGTAAGTGGCCAAAGGGTCAGGAGGCCCACACATGAAAGAGGGATGGATGCAGTCCACACAGGTCAGCTTCCCAGAGCAGGAGAATAGGGCAGAGAGAGCCCCTGGAGGGGTGAGCAGAAGACAACCAAAGGCCCAGGTGAAGCCCTCCCGCTCCAGGAAGAATTTCCTATCACAGCCTATATTCTTCAAAATTCCCAAGGAACTGCATGCTTCTATGTCTCCTGTAACAGAGCATAAAACAGAAGGGAGAAATGAAGAAAAGAAAACAATGGGCCAGGCGCAGTGGCTCACACCTGTAATCCCAGCACTTTGGGAGGCGGAGGCGGGCAGATCACGAGGTCAGGAGATCGAGACCATCCTGGCTAACATGGTGAAACCCTGCCTCTACTAAAAATACAAAAAATTAGCCGGGCGCGGTTACGGGTGCCTGTAGTCCCAGCTACTCAGGAGGCTGAGGCAGGAGAATGGCATGAACCTGGGAGGCAGAGCTTGCAGTGAGCCGAGATCGAGCCACTGCACTCCAGCCTGGGCGACAGAGCAAGACTCCGTCTCAAAAAAAAAAAAAAAAAGAAAAAAGAAAAGAAAACAATGACTTTCATGAGAACCTACTAGGCTTCACGTTCTGTGCTAAGCAGTGTATACATTCCCCATGCTGTTACTTCTTTACAATCTGGGAAGGTAAGTATGATTATTCCCATTTTGTAGTGGTGGAAACACAGGCACAGAAGTGATAAAGTATCAAGTCCCGGGTCCCACTCCTATGGTAAATCCAGATCTAGAACCCAAGTGTATCTGATTCCAAATATCACACTGTTTCCATAAAACCATACTGCCTTCATAAATTGTCACTCCTTATCTACCTATATCTTGCCCTTCAATGAGCCTGAGGGCTACCTGAAGGCATAGATGGTCTTCTATTTCTCTTGCATCTTCCTTTGCCTTTGTTCTAATAAGATGCAAGAAAGCTCCACATATATATTAGCTGATAAATAAAACCACAAAATCTTTGAAATCCCCACAATACTATTTTTTTCTCAGTTTAAAAATACCCTGTTTTGCCAAACACTCAGAAACTTCTTTTCTCTCTTAGAACAGGCTTTTTTTTTTTTTTTTTTTTTTTACACACATCTTATATTGGGATTCACAGCTCATCACTCCCACAAGAAATCCCCCCAGGCTCCTTGTCTGTTCAGGCAAGCACTTGGTAAATTCGGAAAACAGTTTAGATTCATTTCTGCTTGCCAAGTACAAGGCTTCTGGGTAGCCTGCTCTTATGCGAAGCTTTAAAAGAAATATTATAGTCATTTACTTAAGCATATCTAACAACATTTTTAAAAATGGACTCTTTGGATGAAGTATTACTAATAATAAAAACAATAAAATAATTAATGATACGACCATGGCAGCTCTGTATATTTGATATTATGTGAGTGCAATCTTACCTGGTGAGAATTTCTAAAAGCTCCCAAGGGCCTTTCTGACATTTCATCATTAACTCCTTTTGCCTTCTCTGCAGGGTAGCAAAGGTGAGCTTGTGTAGGCTTCAAGTGGAGGTTGAGGCCTGAGGCCCAAACAACTCGCTTTCTCCACTCCACACTCACCTCCCATTTAACAGGAAGACAACAAACCTTGTCAGAACATAGCAACAGTGAAAGGAAAGGATCTTGCAGTTTTTTAGGAGGGTCCCCTCGGGTCCCTCTTTGTGCACTCATTTGACATTTCCTTTCTAACAACGACTGTCATGGTTTGCCAAATACCTTCTCTTTTGTGCTTTCATTTCATCTTCATGGTGCTGTCCTCATTTTACCATGGTTGGAGATGATATAAGCCACAGATTTTCCAGCTAAATAGGACTGGACTCCATGCCTTTTGAGTCCAAGATCTCTTCTGTACCTTGTAAATACCACCTGACTTCTGGCTCTATATTATGCTACCTTAATTAGATTATCAGCCCTAGTACAGGTACTGCCACCCTGAATGATAGTGAAAGAGCAGGACCTCTTGCTAGTAGGTGAGTTGCCCACAATCTTCCCCACTCCTCCCCAGCTGGTGAGACCACACCTCCTTCACCATCTGTTGAATCTAGACCGCACCTCCCAGACCACACCTCCTTCTCCATCCGCTGAGTCTAGGCCACACCCTCTTTCCCTTTCTGTTGAATCTAGGCCACACTCCCTTTCCTGTCTGTTGAATCTGGACCACACCCCGTTTCCTGTCTGCTGAACCTAGGCCACACCTTCTTTGCCTGTCTGTTGAATCCAGACCACATCCCCTTCCCTGTCTGTTGAATCTAGACTACACCCCCTTTCGTATCTGTTGAATCTAGGCCACACCTCCTTTCCTGTTTGTTGAATTTAGGCCACACCCCCTTTCCTGTATGTTGAATATAGACCATACTCTCTTCCCTGTCAATTCAATCTAGACCACACCTCCTAGACCACCTTCTTTCCCTAGCTATGGAATCTAGATCACACCTCCCAGACCAGGTCTCCTTCTCCATCTGCTGAATCTAGACTACACCTCCTGTCCAATCTGTTGAATCTCTGCACCTTTGCCCAGCCACCTGATGAGAGCTGTGGGGTCACTAACCTGAATAATAGTGCTTTTTCCCTCTCTGGAGGGAACTTTAACCTTAGCTCATTAAAATTTACAGTCTAAATTAAAAGTATTCTTTAGAGATAAAAAGACCAAAATAAAGATAACAGAATACTAAATGGCTTCCAAGAGCCAAACTAGTAGGTCAGTTCATCCAGATTTGTAATTGAGTTATCCCTAAAAAATGAGCCAGCCTTGATTAGGTGCCCATTAGCTTTCAGCTTCCAGAGAGCAGCAAGCTAGTCCTGCAAACAGTCATTCTCTTGACATCTGTGATTCTCTAGATATTACCAGTTAACGTCCATGCAAGGAGGAATGGATATATGATCAGAAGAAGCATGAAAAGATCTCCTCCTCTCAGGAATTCCAGGGGGAAACACCCACAGAAAATCACAAGGCTGAAAAAAACTGGTATATCAAATACTCCTTTGAAAAATTTTATGAAAGCTGTGAACACTTTCCCAAAGCTCAAGTCAAGAACTTAACATGTAAAGTGGGGATTTAAAAAAAAATTCAAAAAGGAAACAAAAACCCAATATGTTTTAAAAGCACAATTTAAAAATTGTCAGTACTATGTGCACTGACTTTTCATCTTCTAACTTTTATCCAATCATTCTGGTGGCATATTGCCACAAAATCACAGTAAAATAAGAAATGGCTTCTAATAATAAGAAGACTGAATGGCTAAAAAGTACTTTTCCATCTGTGTATCCAAATGAAGTTCTCTCAATACCCTCAGAAAAACACAAAATAGTAATCTCAGTGCTCATTTTAAAGACTGAGCAACTGAGGCTCTGGGAAGGAAACTGACTTACCCTGAGGTCCAGTACTGGTAAATGGCTGTAACCAAGCTAAGATCAAAGTCTTTAGGCTTCTAGTCTAGGGCTTTAAAGATGAAAAAAAAACTCGGATATCAGCTAGACCCATAGCCTAGAGCAAGCTTGTCCAACCAGCACCCTGACAGCCACATGTAGCCCAGGGTGGCTTTGAATGCGGCCCAACACAAATTCGTAAACGTTCTTAAAATATTATGAAATTTTTTTGTGACATTTTTTAGCTCATCAGCTATCATTAGTGTATTTTATGTGTGGTCCAAGGATATTCTTCTTTTTCCAACGTGGCTCAGGGAAGCCAAAAGATTGGATACCCCTGGCCTAGAGTCTTTACTTTGCAGATGAAGAATGATCTTAGAAAGATCGAATGCTTTGCCTGAAGTTACACAATGAGTGAGTTACACACATCAGTTAGCTAGGTCACCTGATCTTTAGTCCACTTCTGAGACCACTGTGGTCCACTGAGCCCATCGTTCATAACATCTGTCGCAGAGAATACTTCCATATGATTTGTATTATTAGGCAATTTCTGGCTTCATTCACTTTTAGGATTTCTGCTCCAAAATAAGTTTGTTTTTAAACATTTCAAAAAGCATAAAAGTGTCTTTTAAAAGAATTAAAGCATGATAAGACTTCTGCCCACACTTTAGAGGGAGCCCTTTGTACATAACATAATTTACCAAAACTCAGGTAACATAACTTACCAAAACTCAATGTTTTCTAGCATTCTAGGAAACATTTTCCTAGAACTCCAGGCACAGGCACAGGCAAGAAAGAACTCAGACACAGAAGAAGTAACTCAGCAGCTGAAAGCAAACAAACCCCAACAACCTGGGCAAATTAATTTCTAGTAAAGAGCTCTACTCAGAGATGAAAAAAAAATTAAGTTAAATACTACATTACCCATGTTGATCATGCTGCAGAGCAAAGCTCCAGAACAGACAGCCCTCCTGGCCCTTGTGGGAGCTCAAAGCCACCCCACAAAGAAGGAAGGACAAAGTACACAGCTGAGATCACAATTAGTGACTTTCAGTGATCACAAGAGAAGGAGTTGGGCAAGGAGCAATCAATCACATGGGGGGATGCAGTTTAGTGTTCTGCCACAAACATCATCAGGGCAAGAGGCATTCATGCACAGACCCCCGCCACTCCAAACACGTTTATTTACTCTTTCAATCAATGCATAGTATAATTTACAGACTGCCAGCTGTTTACCATACATTGTTCAGTTCTGAGGACACAGCTTATGTTCTAGTGAAGGTTGGTGGACAATAAATCAATCAAGTCTATCAAGTATACAATGTGTCAGGTATTGGTAAGTGTTATGAAGAAAAGTAAGGATGGGAGGGCTATAAGAAGTGCTGGAGGGGAGTAAGTCTTTTTAATGAGTAGTTAGCAAAGGCCATACGGAGATGACATTGGAGCAAAACTTTTAAGAGGGTGAAGGTGTGTGCCATGCAGAGATCTGGGGGAAGAACATTTGAGGCAGAGGGAACAGCAAGCCCCAAAAACTCTGAGGCAGAAATAAGCCAAGCACTTTCATCAAAGAACAGTGGAGATACTAGTATGGGACACAGAGGAGAGGGAAAAAGAAGTAAAGGATGAGATCAACAAAGTGGATACCAGAGCTGGGCCCTAGAGATGGAAAGTATGGCAGAGTCCTCGCTGCTAAGTGGCTCGTAGTCTAGCAGGAAGTAAGCAATTGTGCCCAGAAGGCTAGGGTTTTCCGGGCTGGCTTCTCCAATCACTCCCCAAGCAACTCTGGAAAGGAAAACTTTTGTGAGGCTCCCTTTCCTCATTTGTAAAAGAAAAAAAAGAAAAATAATAATCTCATTTCGTCTATCCCACTAACCCTGCTCCCATCACTGTAGTGAGATAGCTTCAAAATGCTACTGTCATTTCTCTGCAGAACAACCACAAGGGTTTAATAGTTTCATTTCCATGTCACAGATAAGAAACTTAGATGCAGAGAGTTAAAGTTCTTACTCAAGAAAATACAGATAGAGAGATGGGCATGGTCGCTTACTCCTGTAATCCCGGCTACTTGGGAGACTGAGGTGGGGAGTGTGTGAGCCTAGGAATTTGAGGCTGCGCTGAGTGATGATAGTGCCACTGTACTCTAGCCTAGGTGACAGAGCAAGAGCCCATCTCTAAAAAAAAAAATAGATAGATGATAGACAGACAGATAGACAGCCAGATTGACAGACAAGCGGCAGAACTCAGATTTGAAAATGTCTTTGTGACCCCAAAGCCCACTGCTCCAATTTGTTCATTTGATGGCCCCAAGAAAACGACAGCTGTTAAGTGTCACCCAGCGTGAGAAGGGCAACACGGCCTTATAATGGCTGTTGCTGTTCTAATGACATAGTGGGCTAGGCAGGATGATGGAACAAAGTACACTCTGTCATCATGATTGCTAAGCAGTCCCACGTGGGGACAAAGCTCAATCTGAAGGTGGCAAGATTAAATTTGTCCTGTTTCTCTAGGTGTCTCCACAGACTTGATAAGTTTGGATTCCTGAAGCCTGAGCACACTGGGAAACTGAGGCAGCCATTTAAGTCATCAAATTCCCCAAGCTTAGAATGTGAAAATGAAAAGAAAAAAAAAATCAGACATCAAACTCTGTGTAGCTGACTTAGAATGATAGGAGTTGTTCTTCCCCACCTCCTGCCAACCACCACACACACACACACACACCACTTCTTGGCTGGAACCTGTCTGAAGGGGAGGAAGGACATTCAGTTATGTTAGGGAGCATGTGTTTATGGCCCTGGACCTTGCTCCCAATAAATGAAGATTCGGTTTAACTCATCTGGAAAAGTTAACTTTTCTGGATGCTCTAACACTTGGAATGTCCCACACCCTTTATTTCCTACACAATCTATATCCAGGCAAAGGTCATCAGTGGACACCTTAACTCAAACCAATATAACTTGATATTGACTGTGTTTGTGTTACCATCCATGTGAATGCATCTTTCTTGTGACCATAATACAATGGCAATAAACATGATGATGGTGATGGTAAAAATAATGAAGACCACAAGGTGAAGTCAGTCTTCTACTTAATCCCTGGCGCTAAACGTTATGGTTTCTTAACCTCCCTGAACCTAAATTTCTCATCTCTGAAATGTTACTAATATTTATCCTGCAACATTAGTACTGTGGCAAGGGAGGCGGAGGTATCTAAAGTCCTTGAGTCCACAGTTGTTCCTTCATAACTGACTGTTGTTACTCTCTGTCAAAAGAAAGGTGAATAAGATTTACACATTTTTATGCCATCCATAATCTCATGTGATCCCCACAACACGACCCCAGCCCTTAACTTGGGGTCTCTCCCTTAGTAGTCACTCAAAAAATAAAATCCAGAACTAGATGAGAGTTTAGAAATAACCTAAGTCTTTCATTTTACCACTGGGGAAAGTGAAGTCCAAAGAGGGGACACATAATTTTATCTAAGCAGATGCCGTCTACAATAATTTAGAAACCTCTTCCTAATGATAAACTCAGGCAAAGGGTCTCTCCCTTAGTAGTCACTCAAAAAATAAAATCCAGAACTAGACGAGAGTTTAGAAATAACCTAAGTCTTTCATTTTACCACTGGGGAAAGTGAAGTCCAAAGAGGGGACACATAATTTTATCTAAGCAGATGCCGTCTACAATAATTTAGAAATCTCTTCCTAATGATAAACTCAGGCAAAGGTAGTAAGTGTCACATCATAAGTGAAATGCCATAGGGAACATCACCAGGGCCCAGGCTAATGCATCCAGGATCTGATTTAGTTGTTGTGATACCCGGAATCATACAAAGGCTTTATTAAAACTCCATTTACTGGAGTAAAGTGTCTTGTGCCTTGAATGTAAAATGGCCCCTATTCACACTGACCTCTCGGTGTGCAGGGAAATGAGGGCCAAACTTCCCAAAGGTTCTCATTTGCAGCAGTGGCCGGTGAGCAGCAGTGGAGTGTGCAAACTCCAGCACTATTGCTTTCCACCTGTTTCTCCACTTGCTCATTATCTCAGAGTTCCAGGGGGACGGTTCCACACTTGGCCTAATGGAACAGAGAGGGACGCTTTTGCTGGACTGAACTGTCCACTTTAACAAGGTCACGGCAGCGCTTGCTCTCATGAAGCCCTGGGTGGGCCTGAACACTTGCTCAGGAATCCTGGGATGAGGCTCTCGGAAAAGAAGGTTTTGTGCATTTCTGTCTGTCGTTATCCAGGAGCAGATGGGGTGCTAAAATTAAGGATGCAGTGCCCCAGTTTTTAGGCACTCACTGTTTCTGTGGAAATGATGCTGAGGCTGAAAGCTAGAGAGTGTGGGGTAAAGCCAATTGAGAATGAGGCCTCAAGGTATGGCAGGAAAATAGCACAGGTTTGAGTCTGTGTGGGTCCTGCTTTGCCCATCTCTCCTGCACGGCTTTGAATGAGCTGCAACTTCCCCGAGCCCTAGCCTGGTCCCCACAATATGACAGTCAGGGGACCTGAGCACTGCTTCTTTCATAGGCTCCTTTCTTTACAAAATGTGTTAAAAAAATTATATTCAATTACAGTGTTGGTATTATGACAAGCATAATCTTTGACCCTAAAAGTCCATTTCCTTCTTCTGAGTTTAAAAGAAGTGAAAATCTATTTGTGGGACCTCAAAAATACAGTAGGGGCCTGAGGCACTGTGCCTGCTATGAGGAAGGGGTAAGTTGGCCCCGGTCTGGCCATAGTTTCCATAATAAAAAAGTGGAATTGATGGCACCTGCCACTCAAGATGTTGTTAGGGTGAGTAGTTTAATACAAAGCTGACCTCCCACCACGCCTGTTCCAGCAGATGTTCAGTCAGTGGTTGTTAACATTATATTACGTTTATTATTCAGAAAATGTAATTTAGCCATTTCCATAGACAATGTTTATGCCCCCTCTTCCTGCAAACACACAGAAATTCATACATTGAAACCTAATCCCTAGGATGATGGAATTTGGAGGTGCAGCCTTTGGAAGGTGATAGGATTCATGTTCTTACAGGAAAGACCTCAGAGAAGTCCCTCACCCCTTCCACCGTGTGAAGTTACAGTGAGAAGGTGCCATCTATGAACCAGGAAGTGGATTCTCACAGACACTGAATCTGCTGGAGCCTTGATCTTGGACCTTCCAGCCTCCAGGACTGTAAGAAGTAAATTTCTGTTATTTACAAACCACCCATTCTATGGCATTCTGTTATAGCAGTCCAAAATGACCAAGACAGCCATTCTTCAAAGAAAACAGGATTCTGCATCTTTTGGCAGGAGAGACATGAGTTTGTTCCCTACGCAATTTACTCACTCAGCTCCTCAAAATATCCCAATAGCTATGAGAACATGGTTGTTCTCAATAGATACACATACTTAATACTGACAACAGACTTAAAAGGAAACATTTTCCCACCAAGGGGAAACTTTGTCAAAATTGTCCTTGTTATTAATTTTTGAAAAACATCAAAATATCAGAGCACTTAGAAAAATCAATGTCCCAGGCTCTGTCAGCTGAAGCTGGAGCTGTGGCCAGAGTTTTGGGAAGAGCACCTGACTTGGAGTCTCACATGTGATTTGCTGACCTGGTTCAACTTTCATCAGAGGATTGGCAGGTCCTTCACACTCCAAGCCCTAGTTCTCTTTTCTGCAGTATTGAATGCCAATCCCTGCTTACATTAGGGATGTTGTGAGGCTCAGAGGATCTAATGAATGTTCACTAAGCAATTTACCCAGGTTTCCCACAGAACGCTCTATCTCGTAAGGATGCTCTTTAAAAATAAGCAAGGGATAAGCTAGGCCTGGTGGGGCACACCTGTGGTCCCAACTACTTGGGAAGTTGAGGCAGAAGGATCGCTTGAGCTCAGGAGTCCCAGGCCAGCCTGGGCAACATATCAAGACATTGTCTCAGAAAAAAAAAACACAAAACACACACACACACACAAAGAAAGGGATGAACAGATGGAAAAAAAGGACAGATGAACAGGTACACAGACGGGAAGAAGGGAAGGAGGCAAGGAAGAAAAGAGAGGATGGATCCATGGTTAAATAGTTCTCAAAACAATAATATAATAGTCCCTGATCCATTGAGATATCATAATAAATATTAACAACTTTGAAAAGCCCTTTGTCAAGGGCACTTACTTTAAATAAGACCAGAAATTCTATAATTTGTTTAACCAAATTTTCTCCTGGCATAACTATAGATACCCTATCTGATCTGAGAAATGCCCACCACCCCACTTCTTCTGTCCTTTCTGCTTCAGGGTCTTTGCAGTTGTGTTTCCTCTCTTGGCTCCTTCTTGTCTTATAGGTTTCCACTCAAATGTCACCTATTTAAAGTGGTTTTCTGAGGCCACCCAAACTAAAATTGCCTCCTTGTGTCCTCATACCAGTTACTGTATCATTTCAAACTATTTATTATATATTACTTATTCCATGTAAATTCTATTAATAATGTGTTTGCTCATTGTCTATCTTAACCTCTTGAGAGCACCAGTTTACCTGAGTTCTTTGTCACTATAGCCACTGCAATGAATATAGCATCCTCAAAGGGCACACCTCAAAAAATATTTGCTGGATGAACAGATGGGTGGATAGTTAGGTGGGTACGTGGGTGGGTAAATAGATGCATGGATAGATGGTGGAAAGCTTACCTATTATATGATCTTTTTTTCTGCGACGGAGTCTCGCTCTGTCACCCAGGCTGGAGTGCAGTGGTGCGATCTCGGCTCACTGACACCTTTTCCTCCCAGGTTCATGCCATTCTCCTGCCTCAGCCTCCCGAGTAGCTGGGACTACAAGTGCCTGCCACCACGCCCAGCTAATTTTTTGTACTTTTAGTAGAGACGGGGTCTCACCATGTTAGCCAGGATGGTCTCGATCTCCTGACCTCGTGATCCGCCCGCCTTGGCTTCCCAAAGTGCTGGGATTACAGGCATGAGCCACCGCGCCCGGCCACCTATTATATGATCTTTAAGAAACACCTTAAACCTTCTGGGCCTTGGTTTTCCTATGTTGGAAGACTATAAACTCCTCCCACCACTGTTATTGTAAGTACAGGTATAGCAGCTATAGAGACCCTATTTATTAAGTGTCTACAATATGGCAAGGAACTTTTTCTGGGGTAACTTTATTCACTTTTAAAACGAGTTTAGGATAGGTGTATTACCACCCCAATTTAAAGATCGGAAAACTGTAGACAAAAGCTTAAATTCCCTCTTAGTAAGTGACGAAGCCTATTGTCCAGTCCTAAACCAGTGCTGTGTCTACATTATGAATCTATAAGGCAGAGGAAATAGTGGCTCTGACTATCGCAAAAGAAATATGACTTCAAACAGAACAGGAGAGAGAAAACAGGTGAGGCATTTTGTACATAATCCAATTTACTGTGTATTATTCTATGCCTAGAAAACAAGAAGCACTTCCTAAGTCAGTGGATTTTTAAAGAGTCAAATCTTAGATCTATACAAATGTATTTTATTTTGTAATAAAATCTTGTGCATTTTATTTGCAGCACTTGTTCTAAATCATCTCTACACTTGACAGTCAGGAGCCATCCACCTTCCCCCTCAAATGAAGATTTTATTTTCTCTTGGACAGCAATTACCGGACAAATGCCAGGCTACAGAAGGTGTTTCTCCAGCAGCAGCATCTGTCTCCTTGGCAGGTTCCTCAGGCAATTTTATTGGCAGCGCTAAAATGGCCAGGGGGTCAGTCAGAGCTCAGCTGCCCACAAGCTCTCAGGTGGCCTACCAGCCTCTGCTCGGATGTCTCAAAAAGAAAAAAAAGAAAAAAATAAAAAGCAGCTTGGATCTACCTCAAAAGTTGAAGATTGGCCAAAGTAAAGTTGTTCAGTGAGAACCATTTAGGCCAATCCTAGTTTCTGCTGGGAGCCAAAAAATTCCCATGATCCTCCTTCCTAATCAAACCAACAGTGACGGCAACCTACATAAGGGCATAGACATTCAGATTCTGAGGTAACAGGCAAATATGTGCTGTGGCAGCCATCTTAAAATGGCCCCAAGTGATCCCTGTCTAATAATATTCATGCCTTTGGTAGTCTCCTCACTGAGTGTGGGCTGGACTTAGTGACTTACTTGTAAGCAAGTATGCTTATTTGTAATAAATGGAATATGGCAAAAAGTAATGGGATGTCACTTGATAAATTAGGTTATAGAAAGACCCCGACTTTCATCTTGCTCTCCATCTCTTGCCCTCTCATTAGCTTGCTCTGATGGAAGCCAGCTGCCATATTTGTGAGCCACCCTATCAGGAGGCCACATGACAGGGAACCAAGGGAAGCCTCCGGCAAACAGCCTAAGAAGAACTGAGACCCCCAGTCCAACAGCATGTGAGGAACTGAGGTCCACCAACGGCCCCTTGAGTGAGCCTGGAAACAGATCCATCCCGGGTGAGCCTCGCAATGACGGGAGCAGCTCTGGCCAATACCTTGATTGCAGTCTTGTGAGAGGTTCTGAGCAAGGGGACCCAACTCAACTGACCCATCAAAGCTGTGGGATTATAAATGTTTGCTTTTTTAAACTGCTACATGTTAGAGTAATTTGTTATGCAGCAGTAAACTAATACGTGTTCTTAAAACACAATTTTTTTTAGTCACGTAAATAGAATGACCACTTTCAAGTATGCTCAAAGATTACCTCTATGGGCCTGTCCTAATTATCCTATTGAAAATCACAGCTCACTTCTACCCCACTCCTATACCACCTTATGCTGTACCATCTTTTCATATTTGCTGAATCCTCAAGCATTATCTTTGAACACTACGTTACTCAAAGAGTAGCCTTTGAAACAGCAGCATCCACCTCACATGGGAGCTTATTAGAAATGAAGTCTCCGGTACCATTCCAGATCTATTGAGTCAAAATCTGCATGTTAGGAAGATCTCCAGGTGATTTACAGGTACATCAACACTTGAGAAACACTAGTCTAATATGAAGTTTTCTTATTTATTTATTTTTTGCCTGCCTCCCACCCTCCCTCAACCTCAATGAGATTTTATTTTCTCATCAGAATGACAATGGAAGTCATTGTTGATACTGAGTGCCACCATTTGAAAGTGCCTAGTCTGCTTTTGTGAAGATCAACTAGCAAGGAGAGACAGACATGGACTATGCGTTTGTAAATTTTACAGTCAATGCCATTTGTATCTAAGTTCATTTGAATAGGGTTTCTGTCTCCTGTAGTCCGGAGTATTTCCAAATGGCAAGGTCAGAGCCATCTACAAATCGCACACAGCATCTCTCACTTTGTCTCCAGCAAGATGCTGACTGAAATTTCCCAGCTGCAACTCAAAAAAAAAAAAAAAAAAAAATCCCAGGGAAGACTTTGATTGGTCCAGAGAGAGTGATTTGCATACTCCCAGATCAGTTGATTGTGGAACTGAATGGTAGCTCCAAACCAACCACACAATTCAGGTTTGGTAAAGAAAATCCTCCAGAAAAAGAAAATTGGTTGTTTCTTTCTAAAGAAAAGGAGAAAAGTACTAAGTAAACAAAATGTCACATATTCATTGAATTTTACAACTTTATGCCCTTTAGATGCTGTCCCACAGCTTAAAATACTCTGGTAGATAGAATACCTAACACCTCCACAATCTTGATATACCTCCATAAGCCAGGCAAGTTCCTACTCAGCCTTCGAGAATCAGATCAAAAGCTACCTCCTCTGTGTGCACTCGCTAGTTCCCTGCTGCCTTGTAAAGAAGGTGCCTGCTTCCCCTTTGCCTCCCAAGGGAGATAAAAAATATCTTCACTGATCTCATTGGATTCTTCCACCCTCTATTAGAGAAAATATGCATAGGGCACGTTGACTCAATATAATAAATGCAGTATTAAACTTTCAACTTTTTGTTTACCCGGTAATTTGCAAAAAAAAAAAAAAAAAAAAAAATTTCATCGGATTCCTCAGCCTCTGGATTGAGGATAAAAGAGATGGGTAAAGACATGGGCTTGTTACGTTGTGGTTTCACATTTTGCATGTTTGTTTTGAAAGGACTGCACCATCACAGTTCTATGCCTGCTCTTTACAGTAGCACACTTTGCCAAGATCATGTATAAAAATATGGTCTTCCATCAACAACAGAAACACAGCCTCCATGTCCACCTGTTTTGCTTTTGTTCCCCATTTCCTAACCTGTGCCCTCTAACCACTGAGGGTGAAAGGCCTCCATGTCATCAGCATTGGAGATCCCCACCTGTCTTTCCATCTAGAACATTCTCAGGGGTCGTGGCAGATCTTATTGAACCACCTTGTCTTTTTAGAAGTGTTGCATGGCCCCAGGGCTGCTGCTAATTACTAAACCGGTTACTATTGTGTGTGCTACTCCCCTTCTCTGGAAACAGCTTGCTTGGGGATTGAAGCGGGGAACCATTGAGATGGGCACCTTCTTCCTGGCAGAGCTCATGGTCCAGCTCCCAAAAGGATGCATTGGTACCAGCAGCTGAGGATTGGGGGAGGGCAGATTTGGGTCAGAGTCAGCAGCTGCAAACATGAACAAATCGCTGCCTCTTCTGTGGCAGTTTTTCTATACACATATTTGGAATCCAGCCACTTCCTCTGCATGAGTCACCAAGGAAAGACGCCTGTTTAGGGTAAGGCATCTTGAAGGTCCTTGAAGCCCTCCCTAATTCCCTTGGTCCTTCTCTGGATGTCTGTTTCTTAACACAAAACACCCCCTCCCCCAATTCAGGTATTTTGTGTGACCTCTCTTAAGGCAATGAGCTCTCACATTTTCATTAGTGCATTGACATATAGGAAGCTTTTTCCCTTACACTGCCTTTTCTTGCCCACTTTCCTCAGAGATTTTGAAAAAGCCAGATACTTGCTTTCTTGGACTCCCTTCTGGCTAGAAGTGGCACTATGATACAGTTCTGGCAAAATACGAATAAACAGAGGGTAGGTGGGTTGTCTTGCTTTGTGGGAGTTCCTTCTGGGAAAAAAAAAAATAACCTCGATCAAAGAAAGGAGATAAGTAAGGAAACCTCTTCTTATCATCCTGGCTGCCCTGGCTTCTTTCTGTTTTCCATGAAGTTCTATGAAGGTGTGATACTTGGATCTATAGCAGCTATCCTGGGACCAGGAAGCAATTAATCTAAGGATGGCACAGGGCTGAAAGAAAGAACTTGAGCCCCTGATAACAACTTTGAACTATTGCACTGATCTTGGGACCACTCCCTCTGGGTTTCTGTTATATCCGATAACAAATGGCTTTATTCCTTAAGTACTGTGATAGGGTTTGGCTCTGTATTCCCACCCAAATCTCATCTCGAATTGTGTCAAGGGAAGGACCTAGTGGGAGAGGACTGTATTATGGGGGGTGCCAGCAAGGTCCCAGAAGGTGCCTGCTTCCCCTTTGCCTTATGCCATGATTCTAAGAAGTTTCCTGAGACCTCCCCAGCCATGCAGAACTGTGAGTCAATTAACTTCTTTCCTTCATAAATTACCCAGTTGCAGGTATTCTTTACAGCAGTGTGAAAACTGACTAACAGACACTGGCAACCAGATTTTTTGTTTATGTTCACTAATAGCCTCATGTACATCTACAAGATTATTATGCACACTAACTTCTTGAATTTTGTAAGGTCATAGAGCATTAATGAAAAAATAGATCTTCTCCATATAGACATGCATTCCCCCAAGTCTTGCCTACTATTTCAGGAGAATCAAAGATTCTATATAAACCTATCCATGCACATACTACAATGCATGGATCTCTTGCTCAGAGAGAAACATGTCTATAGATCATGTTCACACATTATGGGATTATAAAATCAACACCAATTCCTACAATAAGGACCCCAAGGCACAAGTTTCTTTGTTATAAAATATTATATATATCACCATTATCATTTGTTGAATGCTTCCTATGTTGAAGATCTCTAAGGATTATTCTAAGTACCCTATACATATAATCTCATTTAATCACAAAACCCTATGTGGTAGTTATTACTACTATCTCCACTTTACACCAAAGAAACCAAGGCTTACTGAGACTAAATAAATTGCCCCAGGTTACAGGGCTAGTAAATGATGAAGCCGAAATTTAAATCCAAGCAGTCTGACTACACAGTCCTTCTTTTAACTTCTACTTTTTGCTGCCTCAATTATGTAAAGTAAACTATGTATTACAGTCAGAAAGGAGATTAATACAGCTTAAAAAGTGCAACCAAATGCATTAATTTTACAGATGATGAAACGAAGGTATACAAAGGTAATGTGTTAAAGGGCACACAGCTAAGGAGTAGCAATGTCCAGGTATCAACTCAGGCAGAGGCTCTCCCTTTGGCCACCGTATTATACTGACTCCAATTTCAGCACTTGACTTTGCAAAGTCTCAATCTATTAAATAGAATCCAAAAAATGTATAGAAGTATTCACATGTTACTGAGGTTAGAAACCCATCTTCCAATATGCACTAAGATCACTCCTTCCTTCTCAGAAAGCAGGACTCACATCTATTCCCATGGCTTTTTCCAGCACCACACGGGAAGGAGTCAGCCCACCATGGCCCCTTCTCTCTGCAGTCACTACCTTGAGAATCTTACCAACCCAGTGGCATCAACTCTCACCTCTTGGCAGAGGATGTTCAAGTCTACATCTGCCACCCTGACTACTCTTTCGACTCCCAAGCCTTCGCATCCAGCTCTCTATCAGACTTTTTATACATGGGCGTGTAAAGGTCACTTCAAATCCAGTATCTGAATACACTTGAAATCACAGAATCTTAGAGATGGAAGGAATCATAAAAAGCAGGTGATACAGTTAAAAGATTATGGGTTTTGAGTCATAAAACCCAGGGTTCAAATCCTAGCCCTGAATCCATTTCTTCTATAAAATGGGAGTAATAGCTCTCACTTCCATTATGGCTGTAAAAGGATGAAAGATGATAATGAATATTGACATGCCTAGCAGCATACCTGGCACTTCAAAGGCACTCAGTATATGGTAGTCACATTTACTACTGTCATCATCACCAACAAAATTTTGCTCATCCACCAAATGCATGACTCTTTCCACAATACCTACGACAGATGGCTATCCAGTCTCTGCTAGAACATTTCCAAAGATAGAGAGCTCGCTCGCTCTCACCATCTCCCCAGGCAGCCAGTTCTATTATTGGATGGCTCTCACTGGCACAAAGTCTTTCCGATGTTGAGCCAAAATCTGCCTCCATGAATCCCACTGGCCCTAGCTATGTCCTGTGGAGCAGCACAGCACAATTCTGCTCTCTTTTCACAAAACAGTCAGCCCTTATGAAAAAAAGCAGTCATGTACTTGCCACATCCTCTTTTCTCCAGGCATTCATTTGAATATACCTCCCTCCCATGACGTGATATCTACATTATCCACAATGCTCACTAAATCCTCAAGTGTGGTACCCAGAGGAGATGCAGATTCCAGTGCCCAGTACAAATAAACTTTGCACTTCCATTAACGCATTACAAAGTCATATTGTGATTTTCTTAGCTGCCCAATAAGTATCACTAGTGCATTATCTAGGGCTCAAAGTGAATCAACCCTGTAAGCCTCTCTCTTCCTATTAAAAGAGATCAAGCTGAGTCTTCCCCATGCCAACACACTCCATTCCCATGAAATCTGGGCACCAAGCACCTGACTTACCCCGTAGACTTTGACTTTGGCCAACCAAAAACCTTCTGAACCACTTTTTCTGCCATTTATATGGCTCAATTCTTCACACAAGCTGTTGATGGCATTTTTCAATAAGTTTTCTCCAATGTCATTGCCAAAATCATCATTAGAGGCCTCCACCCAGGTTAATTTTCCATTCACTTTTATGAAACAATTATGCAGTAGGAGATACTCTATTAAATCTCAGCATACACAAATATAGAAATGTTTAAGAAAGTACCTATATGAAGATGACAGTACCACACAATAAGCGTGATGACAGGGGACAGCACTTAGAAAATGCTAACCTGGAGGGGGCTCACCACTGTGAATGCACTGTTGCACCACCTGGAAAGCTTTTAATTGGCTACATCCCAACCAAGTAAATCAGAACCTCTGTGGGTGGGGCCCAAGCAGCAGTCCTTTCTAAAGACCCTCAGGTTTCTTTAATGCTAGATCAGCTCAAGGGTTCTGGAATGTTAATACGTTTATGAATGACTAGTGATCTGCTAAAGTTTAGCTTCTGATTCTGTAGGTCTCAGGAGAGTTCTGAGATTTTTTTTTGCATTTCTAACTCCTTGCCAGGTGATGCTAAGCCTGCTGGTCCATGGACCACAGGTTGAGTAGAAAGGGCATGGATATACCACCTAATTCTCCCTAAATCCTCTCTCTAGTCTTTCCTTCCTGTATGTTGCCGGTTGAGCCCTTCACTCCAGCTGATTGAAAGAAACAAGTAAATGGCAAGATAAATACAATGATGGCTTATGACAGGCTAAGATGCATAAACAGCCCAGAAGAGGGCACCTTAATCAGACAAGGAAGGCCAAGGAAGGCTTCCCAAAACAGGTGGTGACTTTATTGAGTTATAGAGGGGAAGATTATTCCTGACTCAGGAAGGAATGAAGAATAGCCTCAGAATCCAGAATTGTGAAGAAAAAAAACAAAATCAACACATAGGGCCCATTCAGGGGCCTTAAAGATTTCTTATTCCCCATAGATTCCATCACTCAAACATTAATCACTTTTGGCCTGGAATTTTCACTTTAAATGTTGATTTGCACCATTATTTAACTTTTCATATTTAAACCGTATCACCAGAACCAGACTGTGATCTCGCTAAGGGCAGGATCAAACTCAGCTATGTTGTATGCCCTTGGTATCTAGCAGGGTGTCCAGCCTACTGCAGATAGTGTATGTTTATAAAATAATTAAAAATTACATCTTTTTAAAAATAGAATTTTAAATTCCAGTATTTATTTTGAAGCACAGACTCCGGTAAGGAGTTAAAGTTATTTACCAGGATTTTGAAAATGACATAAACCAGTGAGATCGGGGTGGCGAAATGTTACCAAGGGTAATTAGAAAAGAGGAATGTTTCCGAGAGTGGTGTCAAGCAGTATAGGCAATGTGAGGATGATAGGTATTAGTATTTGCTGAAGGTGAGTGGGATTTCTCTCTAATCTGAGAGCAACACAGCCCAACTTGCTCAGATGACAGGCATGGAGGAGAAAAAAGTTACACATGTTTGGGGCAAATGAAACTGCAAAGAGCTAAGATACAGAAAACTCAGCCTAATTCAATCAGACATTATAGTCAGACCTGGTTAATGTGAGACAATTAATACAATCCATTTTTATGCAGATTAAAACGTTTCAAATTAACAGGTCAATAGCATTCATATGTTCTAAATTTGGGCTCCACCAGAGCCAGGTGAACCGTTAAGTGAACCAATCTAAACTTTATTACAGAGGAGGAGTCGGGATGCTCAGGAATTCACACTAAACTCAATTTGCAGTTAATCGTTCACATTTTTCTCTCATCTACCAGATATCCTAACTTAAGAAAGACCTGCTAGGCTTTCTCCTATGACAAAAGACAAAGAGGACATGAATTATTCATCAGTAGTAAAGGTATCATTTTATCTGTTTATTTTCCAATTAGGTGAAGTCAGATAAAGAAGCAGTCAATAAAACCAAGAGATTTTTCCCCATTGTATGGAATTAAAAGTAGACAGTGTTAATGTGGGTCTTGGAGTCCATAAAAAACATTCAATTAGCAGTGCGCATTAGAGAGGAGAATGATGCGCATTAGAGAGGAGAATGATGAGAAACTGAATACATAACTATCCAAAACCCTCAATGTGGTGGCTCTGAAGGTTGGACTACACCAACCTTTCCTCCCTCCCTCCTGCCTCATCACTAGCAGCCCCCACCCCACATCCGCTTTCTTTCTCAGCCTCTCAGCCCTTGCTCAAGCCCCTCCCAAGTTTGGCCCTTGTCTCTGCTGCCTAGCACTCTCCATTTCTTCTTTAAGACACTGCTCCATCCCAGCCATCCTCCACCACTACCCTCAATGCCTGCAAAGGACAAAGAGTTGACTCCCCTCCTTCATGTTCCAGCCACTCTGTGTGTAGCTCCGTTAAGGTTTCAACTGTTTCCCTGAGAACTGCTCAAGAGCCAGGGTGGATGCTTTATCCTGTTTGTACCTTTGATGCCCTGCACAGAGCAGATGCTCAAGTAATGTTTGTTTTGACCTCCAAATAAGCCACATGTATCCTGTAGATGCTGGAGCCTGCCCATTTCAGTCTTCTTTGATTTTTGCTTTTACTTTGCAATGAAGCCACTGGGTAGAGACTGTGACTTCCCTGCACTTCACTTCCAAGTTCCTTTCAGGCCAGCCTGGAGCAGAAGGCAGACAGACCAGAGGGAGAAAGAGCAGCTCCCATTCCCTTGGCACATCTCTGTACACATTTCTGAGCTCCCAGAACAAATCACCTGCCCCCTGTTCTGGGCTCTTAGCCCGAGTTAGCCTCAAAAGTGGTCATCGGTGTTGGTAAGCATGCTTTACACAATGGGGCAGAGGACGAAACAGGGTGGGGGTCAAAACTCAGCCCCAACACTTGGAGCACATTGCTTAACTTTTCTGAACTTTGGTTTCTCCACCTTACCAAAGGGATAAAAGTGTGCTTTGGTGTGAGGACTAAATGAACCACTGTGTATAAAGTACCTAATGCGGTGCTTGGTACAGAGCAGGTGCTATTATTATAACTGGATGTTTATACATCTACTTGTTTACATATTATAACTGATGTTTTTACATATTTCACTATTTACTAGACTGTGAGCTCCTGAAGGATGCAGACTGTGTCTTTTTTATCACTTCTCCTCCTCCAGCTCTGGAGTGAAGCCAGTCATTGTAAGTAGGTGATAACAGTTGTTTAAGTGAATTATTAAAGGTAAACCAGGCCAAAGAGCAAACTCCATGAAGTTTAAAATGTTTTTGGCTTCCCTCACCTTCCCATTCCCACACAGAACACATTCCTTCTCTAGAACAATTCACGAAATCAAGAACTGATTGTATCTCATCATTCATTTTCAGATCTGTAACCTCAGGTCCATTTCATGAGCTCACAGACACTCTTTCTCTCTGAATCTTGGTTTCCTTGTTTCACAAATGAATTCGACTAAGTAATTGCTTGACTTCTTTCCAGCATTAAAGAAATCACCCGCAAATGATTTCATTTATCCAACAAGCATTTACTAGGGATTTCTCCGAGTTCTACACTTTTGCTAGGCATAGACACGATGAAAAGGGGGTACTCCCTGCCCTCAAGGAGCTCACAGTCTAGCAATGAAATATTTGGGGATACTTAAAGCTACACCATAAGGTGACTGCTCCAGATCTTTCCATAATTTCCTTTTATATTCAACCTCAGTCCACCTTGTTCGCATCCCTCAAATCATCCCTGGAAATGCACTTAGAAACATTCAACCTTTGGATCAGATGAAATGCTCATGCTCTGCCTGACCCAGACATAAATTCTAAAGACAGCAGGAAGCAAAAGAGGGCAAACCATGACTTAATCCAGCTTTTCCCAAAGTAACATTTGCAGAAAACTAGTCTATGGAGGTACTTTGAAAATTGATTCTACGGACAGGTGACTGAAAGAGGGTATTAAACACCCTCTCCACTGCAGGATTTCTCAGAGCCTTTAATGTGACCACACACAGCCCTATGACTCTCCAAGAGGAAGACAGAGTAGGCTGCGTCTTTTCAGCTTGTGCTGCCATAACAAAATACCATAGACTGGGTGGCTTAAACAACAGAAATTTATTTCTTAACAGCTGGAGGCTAAGAAGTCCAAGAGCAAGGCACCAGCAGATTTAGTTCCTGATGAGGGTCTTTTTCATGGCTGTGGACAGTCACTTTCTTCCGGTATCCTCACATTGTAAAGAGGGAGCTCCAGTCTCTCTTTCTTTTCTTATATGGCCACTAATCCCATCATGAGAGTACCATCCTCAGACCTCATCGAATCCTCATCACCTCCCAATGTCCCTGCCTCCAAATACCATCACACTGGGGGCTTAGGGCTTCAACACAGGAATCTAGGGGTACACAAACCCACAGTGCTGTTCAGTGTTTTCATACACAGAGCACTATTATTTATTTATTTATTTATTTTTTGAGACAGGTTTGCACTCTGTTGCCTGGATTGGAGTGCAGTGGCACAATCTTGGTTCATCGCAGCCTCAACCTCCCAGGCTCAAGTGATTCTCTGGCATCAGCCCCCTGAGTATCTGGGACTACAGGCGTGTGACCTCACACTTGGCTAATTTTTTTTATTTTTTGTAGTGATGGGGGTCTTACTATGTTCCCCAGGCTGGTCTTGTACTCCTGGCCTCACGTGATCCTCTTACCTCAGCCTTCTAAAGTGCTAGGATTGCAGGCGTGAGCTACAATGCCTGGCCTACACACAGAGCCCTCTTTACGTGAAACACCACATGAGACTACAGGCCCAGGATCCCACTGGGAGAAGTGCTGAGATAATCTGGAAGATGGGCTGTCAGAGAAGAGAGAGATGCGCACCAGTCTCTACCAGATTTACTGCACACACCACCGTTCTGCAGCACCAGGTGCCTTTCATGGAAGAGTTTGTTGATAATTTTCCCGAGTGTGTGAATTCCTCTCTATGTGACCTGCAAGAAAACAATCTGCCAATCCTCCGGACGGCAGATGGGGCCTCTTCAGAACTGCTGCCAAACCTGGCAACCAATCACCCCAAAATGGTTAGCTCTGCCATGGTAGATGTCAGGAAAAAAAGAGGTTAAGAGATCACCAAAATGATACCATGTGTCAAAACACCTCCTGTGTCTTGGCAGGAGAGGGGAAATTTAAATGCTAAAACAAATCCTATTAAGCAATGCTTGCCAGGAAACTTAACCAAAACAAGAAGGAAAGGATTCCTGTCATATGGGCTGGGTAGCTCAACGGTGGCCTCTTGAGATTTGAGCGGCCAAATCAATTCCTTTGCCAGAGTTACTTTTCCTAAAAGCTTGAGAGATTTACAAGTGGAAAAAACAACAACAAAAAATACCCCTACAAACATGGAGATATGATTGACCTGAAATTCAGGTCTCAGATACCTTTATGATGTTTAAAAATAACCTTCAGTGATAGTTTTTAAATTAGGATCTCTAAGAACCCCAGAAAGTCATTTTCTGGGGGAGGAATCTAACCATTACAGAGCAAATGCTACTGAGTAGATTAGGTTTAAAAATACACTCCCTTTGCCTTACCAGGTTGTTTGCTACCCATGATGGCTGTTGCATCCTGCAGGGTGACATTTCTCGCAGCTGCCACCTAGCTAGTAGCATAAAGCAAATCCACCTAGCTTCTGAGAGGTGGGTAGGTCTGTGAGTTTTCTGGGTCAGATCCCAGGAATTAGAGGCAAAGAGAAAAGCCTACCTGTAAGGAGAATGGCTAGCGGCAGATCTTGAGTCCAACCTCTGTGCCAGCGTTGGGATGGCATGAGTTTTCATCTCGCTTGCCACATTTGACCAACTGGTAAAGACCACGTGGGGTGCTATACTCAAAGAACCCTGAGACCACACATGAGCTCATGGAAAAGAATGCCAGGATGGATGAGAGATGCCCACTCTGGAGGTAGACTGTGGTTTCCTAGCTAACAGGTACTTGATCCTCCGAGGATGGAAACACCCCACACATACGCACTGTATTTTGCAGTAGGGAAGCACGTTTTATATACCTTATTAAATTGTGTGTCCATGTCATTGCCTTGGTCACATTTACTTCAAACATTCTAAAACTATGGACAGTAAGACCTGCATAAAGTTTAAGTGATTTGAAGAAGGTCACAAAACTAATAATGGGAAGTGCCATGCCATGATTCAATTCTAGGTCTTTTGACTAACTGTCCTTTCTCTATATCACCACTTTGCACAGCTGATAGCCAAGACAGAATTTCTGTTTCTCACTGACTTAAAATTACTGGCAAAAAACTTTTGAGTTTGGGCACCTGCCTGAAATAACATCTGCCCATGTGGCATGTGAGGGATAAAATCATATATCTGACCATTACTTAGCAAATTACCAGTCATTAGATAAATTCTGTCTATTATTAATAAAATTATTCGTAGTAGTATTAATCTACAGACAGTGCTAACATGGTGACATGAAATGAGGGCCTTAGGAAAAATTATTAATGTTGACAGCACTTTAAGAAAAAATCCCAGCCTGATCTTCCTGCATTAGAAAATACCTGTCATTCCCATTTCTATAACTCTATAATTCACATGCTACATTCATTCCACAATCCTCACACAGCCTACAACAATGGCCCCCAAAGCAGCTGGAGTCCAGCACAATGAGTGCTGAACCCTGGTCAAGGGATTTGGCTTAGCAGGCCAATTAATCCCAAGGTCACAAAACTAATTAGTGCCGCAAGAGGAGCGGATCCCAGGCAGCCTGCTTTCCAGCCTCATCCTCCTTCCTCCCTCCAAAGCCCATGAGAAGCCCTTGAGAACTCCGTACTGTGTCCCATGACATGAGCTAAATGGACACAATCCCATATTACTTTCTCTTAGTTACAAAGTCATTGGTAGATATGCTTTTATTGGCCATTACTCGTACTTTATATTGGCGCTAGTTTTGCAACCCATTCTCCCTTTCCAGTGTTGCCTTTCCGGTTTTTTTGCATATCTAAACAGTAATTCTAATTATGTGGGCTTGATCATCTGTGTCTTTGAAACCTTTCTTCAGTGTCATCAGCAGCTCAATTCTTTGTTATGTCTTGATTTAGCAAGGCTATTGATGCATCATGTTCATTAATTCCAGAATGTTCCAGGATGGTCTGCAATTTGTCTCTTCCAAAAAAAAAAAAAAAAAAAACCCACAAAACAAAAACATACCCATAGATACATATACACCTCTATATTTGCAAGTTGGGTCACAGCTCAGAAGACACTCAGAACTGCAGAGGAAGATTCCTGACTGCTCAGCATTTAACTTTCTGAATAGTGAAAAATCTACTATCAAATAATCTGGAAGAGGTCAATCAATAAAAATAATTGAATAATTGATGATGTTGTATTAAGCTAAAGTATAACATATGATATTCATTAACCCATCAAGAAATATTGCTTGAGTTAAACCACATCCCTCAAATGAGTATTTCTGGTGCTAATTCAAAAGGCAATAGCAGTCAACCAGGGGATGTTTTTAATGTTTTATGCTTTCACTGCAGTGCTGTTTATAGAGGGGTTAGCAGGGCAATAAGGATCATATTTAGGAATGCAGTTCAGTGACAGCTAAGGCATTGAACTACAATCAAGTCATCTTCCTTCACTTAAGCAACCTGGACAGCTGCACTCCAGCTAATCAGCCTGTCTGAGAAGGAATTGACAAGCTACTGGAGATTTACTGTGGTAGTAAAGGAGGGGCTTTCCTTGTTCTTCATAAATAAATAAATAAATAACTCCAGGGACGTAGTGTTAATATTGCATTTGGCTCTGAAGTGCTCTCAGATATTGTTTCATTTTACCACTAGGGTGGTGCAGATGTGTGTCGTACCCAGGCTCCTGGAAGCCATGCAGCAGAACACACAGGTTGTGGAGTCACAGAAACCTGGTCTGAATCCTTGCTGTATCATTTACTAGCTGGGTAACCTTGGATAACTCCTTTAATCTTACTGAGCCTCGGTTTCCTCACCTGCAAGAGGGAGAGAATAATAATGACCTTGAAGTGCAATGAGACAATGTCCACAAAGCATCAAGCCCTGAATGTAGCATAGAGGAGATGGTAAATAAAATTTAGGATTCTTGCATTTTCCCATCTGGCAAACGAGAAAACAGTGTCGACGTGATGTGCTTCTTGAGAGCAGGGGTTGTATGTCACTCCTCATTGTGTCCCCGGTGCCCCACGCAGTGCCTGGCATAAAGGAGGCACTCAGGAAATCTTGCTCATGTCTATTTAGCTGGTCTGGAGCTCCACACTATGGTCCAGACTGTTGGAAATGCTTGCAGCTCCCAGCAGGCAGTACAGTGTGAACCCTCGGCAGCTTGACCCCTGCTTAGCATATATTGTTCCCTCTGTCAGGAATACCCTTCCCTCTCCTCTTCCTGGTGAACTGTCTCATCTCTGTAGAGCCACCTAAACAGCATCATTTCTCTGTAAATACCATCCTTCCTTCCCTGACCCTGACACCCTTGCCTATCTCTTCCAGTTCATACCAAAGTACCTTGATCCTCCTTTTTCTATACCACTGCTGCCCCTTGCTCCATCACTGAACTTAACATTGTAAATTAGGAATAAGTCTGAACAAGTAAGCACCTAAAAAGTAAATGCTATATTGTATTTTTTTTGACTCTCTGTATCCACAAATGCTAGCAAAGAAACTGTCTGCTAACGATAAGAACAATAACAATTTAACTGTAAGAACAGCTAACATGCAATTGGTGTGCACTTACCATATGCCAAAGACACTGTGGTAATTGTTTCATGAGGGCTCTCATGTTTTACCCTCCCGGTAACCTTATTAAATACTCTTATTATTCCTATGTTACAAATTTATAAATTGGCATAGAGAGGCTTAAAAACTTGTCTAAGATTCTCTAGCCTCTGCCCAATAAGGAGGCAGTATGGCACCATGGTTAAGAGTATGACTTCTGGAGTCAAAAAGACTGGGTTGAAACACATGGCTTCACCATTTACAAGTTGTGTGAGTGGAAAAAATTCTGTAGCCTAGCTCACTCAACATCTCTCCTGACACCCTTCTCTTTAACCTTTGCCTTCTATAGAGACTAGAAAGTGAAATACTGGAATCCTGCTTCCCATTTAGCTAGGGTTGGTCATGTGCCCCAGTTGGAGGCAAAGAAGATACAGATGAACATTCCTGAGAAAGGCTTTCTTCCTTTAAAAGACAAATTCTCAAAAGTTAAAGCCTTTTACCCTTCCCACAATTGCTCTTCTTCTTTTGTCTCTTGCACTTCCTTTTGACTTGGCACTGAGATGAGAAAACTGGAGCTACAGCAGCCACTTTGAGCTCATAAAGAACAAACACTACACATTAAAGACGAGGTAGCAGAAAGGCAGAGGAATCTTGGGTTCTTGATGACTTTCTTGAGCAGCTTTATCAGCACTAGCTTGCTCTTACTCTAAGAGTTTTTTGTTTGCTTGTTTGTTTGTTTTTTAAAGACGGAGTCTTGCTCTATTGCCCAGCCTAGCCGGAGTTAGTGCAATCTCGACTCACTACAACCTCTGCCTCCCAGGTTCAAGTGATTCTCGGGCCTCAGCCTCCTGAGTAGCTGGGACTACAGGCCCACACCACCATGCCTGGCTAATTTTTGTATTTTTAGTAGAGACAGGGTTTCACCGTGTTGGCCAGGTGGGTCTTGAACTCCTGACCTCAAGTAATCTGCCCGCCTTGGCCTCCCAAAGTGCTGGGATTACAGGCATAAGCCACAATGCCCAGCTGGGAGTCTTTTTTATATAATAAAAATAAACATCTTGCTTGTTCAGGCCACTCATTGAGGTCTCTGTTATTCATAACCAAACACATGGATAGAGACCCATCCTCACTATGCCTCAGTCTCTCAACTGTCAAAATGAGGTAATAACAGTGTCTGTTACCTTTCTAGTTTTCTGAGGATAGAATGATAATGCATTTAAAGAGCTTAGTTTAGTTTCGGTAGAGTAATCATTTATGGAATATTTACTCTTATTACTATTATTACTACCAATCAATGAGAGACTTAACCTTCAGAAACCCCAAGGTTCAGCTTCCTTTCTTCTACAATCAGTCTTCCAATGACTCCACTTTTATACAGATAAATGTATCAGGTAAATTAGCCATCTTTCTCTGTGACCAGAAAGTCTCCAGATTTGATATTTAAACAATCTCTGAAATGTACATGAGGCAGGGCTTCTTACCCATGCCCAATAGATTTAAAAAAATGGAGACTGAGGCTAGAAAGGGATTGTTCAAGGTCACATGGCCAATTTCATTCATTTTATGGAAGTTGGAGTAAAGTCCAGACTTCTTACCCTGTTCTGCAATGCTCTGTTTAATCTGACCTGTCTGCCTCCCACCAGCCACATGGCCTTCCTTTCTGTTCCTCAAACATCCCACACCGTCTTCTGCTCCAAGGCATCTGTTCTGTCTACTTGCTGTCTTATCTGTTGAAACTCTCTTCGCTTTGCTCTTTGCGTGGCTGTTTCTTTCCCATCCCGTAGATCCTAGGGGTAATGAGAGGTCATCCCCAAGTACACTAGTAATGGACTTGCTTCCTAGACCAGGAGTTCTCTCTCACTTCCCCTACTGATGTCCCGCACATCTGTAATGATCTGCTCATTTGTTCATCTGTTTATTTATTGATTGATTCTGGCTGGAATGTAAGCCTCTTAGAGGCAGGAACTTTGCCTGTTTTGTTTACCACCATTGTCCTAAAGTTAGAGGAGAAGGAAAGAGGGAGGAGATTAAACCCAAGAAAAAGCTTCACACCTAGGTTCAAATCCCAGCTTTGCCATGTAACAATTTAAGGTAAAGCAACTCACTTAACGGCTCAGTTTCTCAGCATCCTCATCTCCGACAGGAGAATGGGCACACTTATCTTACAGGGTTGCTGTCAATAGGACATGTGATAACATATATAAAGGATGTAGCCCCATGCTGGGCACATTAAATGCCCCACACATGCTTGTTCCTTCCTATTCTTATTTCTCCACCTCGCTTGCATTGCTTGCAATAGCACAGTGCTAGGCAAATTGTGTGTAACCAACCAATTGACAAAGATAAGAAGAAATGAGTGGAATTAAATTCTCAGGGATCAGCCAGTTCTGCTCCTCTCAAAGCCACTCCAGCTCCCTACAGACTATGGTCTGTTGATTTATCTGTAGATTGCAGACAGTGTTAGTATCTACTGCATAGAGTTGCTGTGAGGATAAAATAAAGTAATATCTATTAACTGCTTAGAACAGCTCTGGCACATATTAAACTCTCAATAAATGTTTGTTCTTATTATAATCTGTGTCTATGTGGACAAATCTAAACAAATTTGATATTTACCATTATAAGTGAACGTCTACTCCAAATCAAACTAGAATCCATCACTGTCATCATCATTACCCTAACACCTTATGTTGGCAATGCACATTGTATTAGGAATAACGGGACAGAGACAAGGGTTGGAGGAGGTAGTAAAGGAAGTGGTACAATTGAAGCAGGTATTTGGGGGAAAGGGAAACCAAAATAGACCCCCAGCCTTGGACTCCCATTCTCTCTCAGTAAAGGAAACCAGGCCAAGTACAAGCAGTCTCAATGCGTATAAGTGGGGAAGTAAGGCCCAGCCAAGTTCACCATGATGAATATGGAGGCCAGGCTAAGACTGTGTGGCAGGAAAAGGCCTGTAATGCTCACGGAGGACTTCATCTAAAGTGGACTCCAAGCTCAGGACTCAGGCCTGAACAGAGGACTAAGGAAGCACAGGCATTAAAGGGCATCCCCCTTGGGGTCAGGCTGCCCTGGGTTCAAGTCCTGACTCTGCCATGCACTCAGCATGTTCCCTTGGGACAGTGGCTTTATGACTTGGAGCCTTTTTCTGTATGTGAAGCTTAGAGAAAAATGAAGCTAGTAACTCTCCCCTCACAAGTGGCAGTGAGGATTCCTGATATAACGTCTTACAGGCAGTGAGCACTTAATAAATGGTAGTTAACTGATAATAATCACAATAGCAAATGCTTGTACCTTACGACATGTTAGGGTTTATTGTAAGTACTTTACAAATATAAATTGATTTAGTCCACACAACAACCCTGTGAGGAAGGCGCTATTAATAAGAATAATGTCGATGACATAATTACAAACATAAACAGCACTTTCCATACGATAAGCATTGTTTTAAGCTTTACGTATGGTAACTCCTACTCACAACAATCCTGTGAAGTAAGCACTATTATTGTCTCCACCATACAGATGAGGAAACTGAGGCAGGGATGGGTGAACCTGCCTAAGGTCATCTGGCTAGTAATAGTAGAGCTGGGCTTCAACAGTACCTCTCACAGGATAAAGCTTCATGAACATCCTAGAGAAAGTTAAAGAACATTGTTGTCCTTCCTGTTTAAATAAGGAAACTGAGGCCCAGAGAAGTGAGGTATCCCATAGCTAGAAACCAGAGAACTAACCTTTCATTTCTTTCTGGGAATAATAATCAAACCATAGCCTTTTGATTTCTGGTTCAGAGCTATGTCCACCCCACTGCGGTCCTTTCAACAATAAAATAAGTTAGTAGCAACACATTCTAATTGTTCTTCTAAGCTGGGCTAACATCTGTTAAGTGTGTGAATTTAAGAATTTAAGAGTTTCCTGGCTTTCTTCTGGAGACAGGAAAATACAGCTATGTGAGATCTGGACATTTTTTTTTTAAGGCACAGTGTTAAAGAGCAACTTTACGTGCCCCGATCATTAAAAAAAGCAAAATACATTTGACCCAAAATGGGACATAGTTGAACAAAAATGGGTCTTCAATCATTTGGAAATGCTAACATGCTGACTGCCTGATTAAACACAATTTGTATTGTCAATAAAAAATGCAAATGACTATTTTACTGGCAAATACAGCATTAGATTTTGCTTGATATGAGGATTAAATTGCATTTCAAGAACAATTCAGGAGGTCAAATTATAAATGAACATCCCCTTTCATTGTCCTTAGATTCTGGAGGCCACGATAGGAAATACAATAACAAAAATAATTGCCTGCCACTGTGTGCCATTTCAGTTAAAATAAAATCCATGCCAGTTTTGTGTAGTGGAGAATAATATTTAAGCCCCCAAATGGGTCCTGTAATTTAGTGCATAATTCCTTGAAATTTACATGGCATACCCCTGCTCATCTGAATCAACTGATAAACTCTCTTTTATTTGTATTAACGAAAATGAGGATTAAAAGGTCGAGAATCCACATAGTGTAGATACCAAAAGCATGGGCACCATTTTAAAACCTTTTAGTCAATCTGGCCCAGAACTAAATCAAGTACACAGGAATTATGTTTGACTGCAAATATTCCCTGGTTACAAATAGGAATAAGACATGCATTTTGAATCCCACAGAAAAATATGGAACCACAGATGTTGCTTTTGAGCATCTTTATTTCTGAAATTACAAATAATCATTGTTGGCATCTGCAAGTAGAAAAACCAAAAAAGCAAAGAAATACCTCATCACTGCATTATGATGTGATAAAACCTCAGGATGGCAGGCAGCCGGCATGGCATTAACGCAGTTGTGCATTTACATTCAGAGATGCACATGTCATTTTGGTTAAACATCATTGCCCAATTTTCGAAATTTCCCCTTGTTATTTTTTTCTCCACATTTTTCGCATTAACTTCAAGTAAGACAAGTTTACACAACCTCTAATACCTTGTTATAGCTCTTGTCGTTTTCTTTCTGAAGGCTGGAATGTATTTCCAGTGCTGTTGGTAAACACGACTAATCCAAGAAGAAATTAAAATGACACTCTGATTGCATAGGATGAATAAACAGAGAACCAAATAAAAGGATTTGGTTTAACTGACATTGTTGGGCAATTTAGGCAAAATTTGGATTCAGAAAACACTGAAATAAGAAATGCATTAGAAATAGGTATAATGCAGCCCAAGTATGCTAATGTTACCAGGAGATTCTGAACAACTTCTTTGGAACTCACAGCAACACTAGGAAGGAGTTTTGATTCCTGTGTGTCAGGCATCATTCTACAAGCTTGCAAACAAACTCAGTTAATCTACACAACAGCTCTAGTAGGTAGGTGCTTATCACCGTTTCCTTTTTACAAATTAAGCATGCAGGATTTAAGTAATTTGTCCATGGTCATGCAGGAGGTGTGGCTTTTGAGTCTGGGCTCTTAACCATAACATTATTCTGCCCCTTACAAGAATCCAGATGTTACCCCTCTATGTCTACCCTGTTGATTACAGTAATTGTCCTAAGCAATCTGTATTTGTTATTTATATGTGTTGTAAGTATCCAAATAGATGTCACTTTCCCATTTTACAGATAAGGAAATAGACTCAAGGCTAAATGAGTCTGCTCAAGGTCGCCCTCCCAGCATGTGACACGGCAGGATTGGAACTCTAAAGGCAACCTCCTTCTACACAGTATTGCCTCTCCCTCCCCAACATCAGCTCCTCTAGGTAGTACTCACAAACAGAGAGTGTGTTATCCAATCAGTGACACTGATTCTTCAACTGTTCAGTGTCCTGGGTCTCAGTGTCTGGCACCTAAGCATTTGAATATCAATAGCACTTGAATGTCTCTACCTAGAATCCAAACCTCTCATCAACCACACAGCTAAAGCCTCCTGCAAGCCACCATCCCCTTTCTCATGGACTACTGTAACAGCTTTCTGGCTGCAGTCTCTGCTCCTGCTCGAACTTTCCTAAAATTTATTTTCAAAATAGAACCCAGATTCTTTTATGATATTATAAAGCTCTCTATGAACTTCCCACCTTATCCCCTTTATTTCTCTGACCACCACTCTTGGTATCCCTTGCCCTGTTCCAGGCACACCTGCCTCTTCACCATCCTTCAAACACACAGGGCTCACCCCTGCCTTTGCATCTGCTGTTCTCTCTGCCCCAGGGATCACAAGAGAAGACTCCTGCAGCCTCCTTGGAGCCTTTGCTCAAATGCCACTGTCTTAGGGAAGCCTTCCTCAGTTTCCCTATTTAAAATTACAAACCCCACTCTCTGTACTCTCAGTGTCTCTCCTATGTTTTTTTTCCTGAACACTTTATAATGTACCCTGTAATTTACACATTTATTTTGTGTAATCCCATGATGGCAGAATCTGGTTGGTTTACTGCTGTATCTTCAGCACCTAGAAGAGCGGCGCCTGGTGAGAGAGCAAGCACTTATGAATATTTGTGCCAGTGAGTGAATGAAGAAAGGATGAAGTGCATCCTCCCACTGCTGGGGCTTCCCTGCTCATCGGCAACAGGCCAGTGGCACCTGTATTCCACTAGAAAGTTCCAGGACACCAAGGTCTCTCCCTTTCCTTTTCCCTTTCCCTTTCCCTTCCCTCCCCTCCCCTCCCTTCCCTTCCCTTCCCTTCCCTTCCCTCCTTCCTTGCTTCCTCCTTTTTTCTCTCTCTCTTCCTCACTCTCTTCTCTCTCTTTTCTCCCTCCTCCTCCTCCTCCTTCTTCTTCTTCTTCTGAGACAAGGTTTCACTCTGGTTGCCCAGGATGGAATGCAGTGGTACAATCACAATTCACTGCAGCCTCAACTTCCCAGTTTCAGGTGACTCTTCCACCTCAGCCTCCAGAGTAGCTGGGACTATAGGCACACACCACCACACCTGGCTAATTTTTGCATTTTTAGTAGAGATGAGGTTTTGCCGTGTTGCCCAGGCTGGTCTCGAACTCCTGGGCTCAAGAGATCTGCCCACCTCACCCACCCAAAGTGCTGGGATGACAGGAGTGAGCCACCGCACCCAACCTCATGCTTTCTTATTCTCTCTTTACCTTCCTTCTCCATTCCCCTTCTCTGCTTCCTGGAAAGACAGAGTTTTCCCTGAAAAACCTAAATCCTTAACATAATAAGGAACACAGAGATCCCTTATTATGTTGAGCTACCTCATTTTAGATGGTAGCTGTGCATATATGTATTAAAAAATAATAGGCATTTGTCCTTCTTTTGCAGTGGTCATTCTCAATATCTATCTGGTAGACTGAACCCAAGGATATAAGGCTATTTTTATGCAAGTTTCTGTTCAAAATGTAGAAATAAGCTGATATCAAATATAACCTTTTAGAAGCAAATGGATGTTGCAAAACCCATATGTAGTATCTATTTCTGCTTAGTACTGGGCAGTAAGTTGGAGCCCCATGAAGTTCATAACTCTTCATGCAATCATTGTTCAGGATGTGATAATGGAAAAACTATAGTCTTTGAAAACCACAGTCTTGTGTACTAGTCATGGCCCTGCCCTGACAGGATCAGGGGCCCCAAGTCATCTTGGCTCTGTTGTCTCAACTATAAGGTTACCAAGAATTCCTACTTTGTGAGTTTACTGAGAGGAACAAATGAAGTAATGTATGTGTAAGAACTTTGTAAGTGCTAAATATTTAGAAGCTATAAGTCCGAAAGGCTAAGTTACTTACCTTTTTTAAGCCTTTGCTCCCTCCTCTGTAAAATAGGGATAAGGAAGAGTTCACTCTTGAATGAAGATCGGATGTGAGAAGGTGTATATCAAAGCCTGACATGCAGTTCCCACTCAGGACATGTCTGTTACTGTAATGTTACTGCTCACTTCCTTCTTACTGACTTAGGAAAAAAATACGGCTTCTTTCTTTTTTTTTTTTAATTAATTATTATTTTTTTTTTTCGAGACAGAGTCTCGCTCTGTCGCCCAGGCTGGAGGGCAGTGGCGCGATCTCTGCTCACGGCAAGCTCCGCCTCTTGGGTTCATGCCATTCTCCTGCCTCGGCCTCCCGAGCAGCTGGGACTACAGGCGCCCGCCACCAAGCCCAGCTAATTTTTTTGTATTTTTAGTAGAGATGGGGTTTCACTGTGTTAGCCAGGATGGTCTCGATCTCCTGACCTCGTGATCCACACGCCTTGGCCTCCCAAAGGGCTGGGATTACAGGCGTGAGCACTGTGCCTGGCCGGCTTCTTTCTTTAAACGTTTAATACATTGTTTTCAAAGCCTTTAACAAAGCAGTCTGTTACATTCCTATCACTAAATTGCTATTTCTAAGTGTACACTTAAGAATGTAAAGTGGAAATAAGAAGTGATTACAGACCAATGATTTCAGGCTGACACATTAATTGAGCTGGTATGTTTAAGGTCCTAACAGTCTCATTTTAAAAAGTCACCTTTTAATCAAAATCCAACCAGTATTTGCTGAACACACACTATGTGCACACTACCATATTAAATGCTTTCAAGGATTATAATTAGAAATACGGGTTGAATTTAAAAATTAATATATGGTCCCATGTAGTTGCCTTCACAATATAGTTATGACAAAATGACACTTAGTACTGAAAACTTAAGCATCAACAAAAGGTTCTAATGTTTCAGCAATAGATATGTTACTCTGAAGCATCACTTAATTAATTTTCAAGTCATCGCCAGGGAGGTAGAGCTCGGGAGGTTTGTGGAGATAGCAGAGACTAGCAGAATCTAGGATGGTTTCGATTCATTCAAAGGATTCATCCTGTAATGAGCATTTCTGATGCTGGTCACTCAAACCTGTTTGGAAGATGCCAGGGAGCAGAAGCAAAATCTCGATGCTCTTCAAGTTACCCCAACTAGAAGGGGTTTTACAAAGAAGGCATTACGGCAGGCTTACCCTCATCTGATTCATTTGCAAGTGGGAAGGAGAGGTAACACCATTTAGTTGACTTAAACTCTTCTACAGAAAGAGAAAACACCAAACAAAAATGCAGATCACTGAACTCTGGAAATCCTAATACAGAACTAAGGCAAATTAATGCCTGTACACAAGTTCATTCTTCTTGATTACATTTAAAAGCCTGTCATCAATTTGCATGTGTTCTGTGTTGGAAAATATGCACTCTGGATCTAATGAGGAGAAGACAGTGAAAATCCATTCCACTGCATGGCTTGGGAAAACCTCTGCATTGGTGTGTCATGGCCTATAAAGTCTGTCTATCAGATATGCTGTACTTGAATTGATCGGGCAGCCATCTGTATTGATTTGTGCAGCCACCGTGGAAACGCAGTCACTGTAACCATTTGCTAGGCTATGTGGAGACACAGTCTACATTTGCTTCAATTCCTTTGGCGGATGCAGTGTGCAAGGTATATCTGGCTAGCCCAGGTCAGTGTCTAACAATAGGTAACATTTATTGAGTATCAGTCTTGTGCCTGGCCTCAAAGTGTTGAAGCACACACTGTGTCATTTATTGCTCACCACCAACCAGCCTAGGTGTGTGTACTCTGAGGAAGCCGAAGTACGGAGTTTTAATGGGTGCAGAAGTTTTCATTGCTGGTAAACAGCACCATCTGATGCCAGCACCTGGGCTCTGAACTACAAGAAGGGCCCTCCTGCACAAGTCCCACACTGAACACTCACTTTACCTCTTTTAATCTTTCCACCACTTGTGGATGACAGGCACAATGATCCCAGGGAAGGAAGGCTCAAGAGAGCTAATTTATTTGCCCAAGAAGTATAAGAGCTGGGTTTTGACTGGCAGCCAGCACTTACACAGCCCTTATTGTGCCCAGGTGCTGTTCTAAGAGCAGCAGCATGAGGTGCCCGTTGGTCCCATTTTACAGACGAGGACATTGGAACCCAAAGAAATCATCACTTATCAAGGCTACATGGCTGGTAAATGGCAGGGCAGGTTCTGGGGTAGGCAGTCCAATCTCAAAATCTATGCTCTTAACCCCCATGTGCCATCTCTAATCTAGGGTTCCCTACATCCAAATGGAGATTTGGACCCTGATTCTTCCTACCTTCAAATCTGACCCAGTCTGCCAGGTTCATTCTCTATCACACAGCTGGGAAGAAGCTGGGAGATTATCTAGCACCAAACCTTAGTTTTAACACTCAGCAAACAAATCACAGGACTCACTTCTGTGCACTGTGAATTTTTCATTTGCCTACCCTATGCCTATAAACACCTGTCAATAAAATGATTCATTAGACAGGAATATCAGAAACTAATTTAAATAAGCAAAGGGACATTCCTTTTAACCCTTCAATTTCTAACCCCCTGAATTTGGGTTTTTATTCAAATACCCAGGATTGGAGTGTATGTGTGTGTATGAAACAAAGGGTCCTTCAAAAACAGAGAGAGAAAACTCTTTTGATTTTTTTTCTCTTTCTTTTTTTGAGCTGTTAGACTCTCAATTTAAACTCTTTTAGAACAAAAAACTGATCTCGTCTGCTGTATTCACAGCATTTCCCAAACATTAAGAGTACACAGGTCCCCCGAAAAAGATTATTACCAACAGTTCACTAAAAAGAAGTGTTCTCCACTCATCTAATGGTCAAACAGGTTCAGGGAATGCTACGTGTAAGAACCTCCTTTTGATGCTATAGACAGCACGCTGTACAGTGAAAGCACTGAGAAGCTCCTAGGTGATGCCATCTGTCACTGTTCAACATTAGGTGATGTTAATTGCCAACATTGTCTGGTACCTTATGCCAGGCATTATCCTAAGTGTATTCCATGACTTACCATATTTCATCCTGAACACAGCCCTTTGGGATAGGTACTATTATTATGCCAATGGAGGAAATTGAGACAGGGTTAAGTTACTGACTTATACATAGTTTGCTCCAACCTTTCAGAACAACTCAGAAGTTCTCAAAATGAACCTTGTTCCTTCTCACCTTTTTGCCTTTGTGGGAGACCATTTCCTCTGCCTGGAACTTCCTTCCAACCCTTCTCACCTGGCTGATCCCTATGTATCCTTTGAGTCTTTTCTCCACAGGATCTTCTATTATCATTCCCTCCATGTCAGCTCAAAAGTTCCTTCACTGTACACTCTGCTCCCTGCAGCTACTATGCTGTATTATAAGAATGTTTTTATGTGTCTGCCTCTGTGCTGAGTTTCTTCATGGAAGGGTTCATATTTTGTTATTTCTTTATCCCTAGTGCATTTGCCAAAAGCATAGCACTTGGCAAATAGTGGATGCTCAATAAACGCTTGCTAAGGGAAAAACAAAAAAATAAAAGCAATAAGCAACAACTCCCTATCTAAGACAGGAATATTATTTGCAGGAAAGCAATTCAAGGATGATCATACTAATAAGTGCTCTTGTGTCCAAAATTGGTGGGTTCTTGGTCTCACTGACTTCAAGAATGAAGACGCGGACCCTGGCAGTGAGTGTTACAGTTCTTAAAGGTGGCCTGTCCGGAGTTTGTTCCTTCTGATGTTCGGATGTGTTCAGAGTTTCTTCCTTATGGTGGGTTCGTGGTCTCGCTGGCTCAGGAGTGAAGCTGCGGACCTTCGCGGTGAGCGTTACAGCTCTTAAGGAGGCGTGTCTGGAGTTGTTGGTTCCTCGCGGTGGGTTCGTGGTCTCGCTGGCTTCAGGAGTGAAGCTGCAGACCTTTGCGGTGAGTATTACAGCTCATAAAGGCAGTGTGGACCCAAAGAGTGAGCAGCAGCAAGGTTTATTGCAAAGAGAGAAAGAACAAAGCTTCCACAGCTCAGAAGGGGACCCGAGCGGGTTGCCACTGCTGGCTCGGGCAGCCTGCTTTTATTGTCTTATCTGGCCCCACCCACATCCTGCTGATTGGTAGAGTCCAGTGGTCTGTTTTGACAGGGCGCTGATTGGTGCATTTACAATCCCTGAGCTAGACACAAAGGTTCTCCACGTCCCCACTAGATTAGCTAGATACAGAGTGTCCACATAAAGGTTCTCCAAGTCCCCACCAGAGTAGCTAGATACAGAGTGTCAATTGGTGCATTCACAAACCCTGAGCTAGACACAGGGTGCTGATTGGTGTGTTTACAAACCTTGAGCTAGATATAGAGCGCCGATTGGTATATTTACAATCCCTTAGCTAGACATAGAGGTTCTCCAAGTTCCCACCAGACTCAGGAGCCCAGCTGGCTTCACCCAGTGGATCCTGCACCAGGGCCACAGGTGGAGCTGCCTGCCAGTCCCGCACCGTGCGCCCGCACTCCTGAGCCCTTGGGTGGTCGATGGGACTAGGCGCCATGGAGCAGGGGGCTGCGCTCATTGGGGAGGCTCCGCCGCACAAGAGCCCACGGAGGTCGGGGGAGGCTCAGGCATGGCGGGCTGCAGGTCCCGAGCCCTGCCCTGAGGGAAGGCAGCTAAGGCCCGGCGAGAAATTGAGCACAGCAGCTGCTGGCCTAGGTGCTAAGCCCCTCACTGCCTGGGGCCGGTGGGGCCGGCCGGCCGCTCCAAGTGTGGGGTCCGCGGAGCCCACGCCCACCCAGAACTCGCGCTGGCCCGCAAGCACGGTGTGCAGCCCCGGTTCCCACCGACGCCTCTCCATCCACACCTCCCCAAAAGCTGAGGGAGCTGGCTCTGGCCTTGGCCAGCCCAGAAAGCGGCTCCCACAGTGCATCAGCGGGCTGAAGGGCTCCTCAAGTGTGGCCAGAGTGGGCGCCAAGGCCAAGGAGGCGCCCAGAGCGAGCAAGGGCTGTGAGGGCTGCCAGCACCCTGTCACCTCTCACTCTGATTGACTGAGATCCACTGATGTGCCAGCCACTGTGTAAGCACATTACCTAGAGTATATCATTTTATCCTCACCAGAAACCTTTCAGACATTTGAAAATATTATCCCCATTTTACAATAAGGCAAACTGAGGCTCAAGAAAGATAATTAACCGGTCCCCACCCACATAACCAGTAAATGGCAGAACCAAGTTACAAACCCAAGATGATCAGATTCCAAAGTCTTTGCTCTTTGCATACACTGTTCCATGCTGCTACTTTGTAATTTGCACATCTGATTCATTTTGTAACCAGAGCACTGAGATCTCTTCTAGAACATCATTCTCCTAAGAACACTCTCTCTGCCTAGCTCTTTCTCTTACTGTTAAAGAAAATAAGCTAAGATAGCCTTCAGCTATGCCATCGTGGTGGTGCTTGGAAAAATTAATCCTGTGCCGTTTTGCATTTGCTGCTTGTGAATCAAACTGTGAAAGCTAATTTAAAAACTTTCACACTTGGTTTGAATGAGGACTGTCAGTGCTTGGGGAATGCTAAATTGTACACAATTAGTTCAAACGGTGCTAGCTTAGACTCCCAGCAGCCTCCCAAATGAAAAGGCTCCCACAGTCACCCTGATGAATCGAGGCGAAGGTTATAGAGGTTTCGGCAAAAACAAGCAGAAGCAGTATACGCAGTTCATGATGGCACTGTACACTGATACATCTGTGCTCGTGTGTAATTCTGTTAAGATGGAGTTCCCTCCCAGGAACAACTGTGCCTCACTGAGATCACAGACTTTGGGGCACACAGACGTGGGCTTGATTCCCAGCTGCAAGCTGCATGGCCTAGAGTGAGTTACCTAAGCCACAGAAGCCCTCATTTCATCATCTGTAAAATGGGGTAACACTATAGTCAGCATTAAGCTTTGGGAGGATTTCACAGCATGCATGGAATACCTTGGCTTGGTGCCTCCAAATATCAGAAGCCAGTCAACATTGCTGTTGTTATTATGCCTGTCATGTGCTACCCCGATAGGATATGCACTGTCCCAGGGCAGAGACCCAGACAGTCTTGTTTATCTGGATGCTCCTGGACCATCTGTATTATCTTAGAGCCCTATCTTCAGGATGATTATAATCATTATTAATAATAATAGGATTTGTAATAATCCAGTTTGGACTCTGAAATGGGCCCTAAGTCTTTCCCGATGTTTCAGCAGATTGTAACAGAGGGAACACTGTGCTGAACTTGGGGACCTGCCCCCTATCGTGGATCTGCCCTTTCCTACAGGCCAGGTGAGCCTGCGCTGATTGTGTGCTCTCCTGGCACATTACCTAGCAAATAGCACACCATGGGTGAATGGTTTGGGATGAACTAACATATTTGATCCTGAAACTTCTCATCTGGGAAATGAAAATAATGATAACTGCCTTAGAGAAAACAGACATAAGGATGGTCAATAAAGGGAAAATAAGGCACATCTCAGAGTAAAGGTGATGAGGAATAAGCCAGAACCAACAGGGGTGACTGAAAAGCCACTGTTTCTTCTTCAGGCTCCAGCATTAGCAGTGAGTCTGGGACCCTTCCTACACCTAAATCATAAGAACTTTTATGTATGCAACATCTAGTGCTCGGTTATTTGACTCAGAAATTCTACAATCTTTCATAACTACCAAAGGAAAAAAAGATTTAATAAAAGCATTTTAATAACGGCAGTTCAATTTTAAGGCAAAAATAACTGTAATTACTTGGAGCCTTCATAACATCTAAAATCTGATTAAAATGTACCACCATTTATGAGCTGTGATGGTTATCCTGTTTCACGGCCCTGCAATTACTGCCGGTGCCTATGCAACTTATGCATGCAAGAAACTCCAGATTGCTTCTTTTTCACACTTGCATTGTACTCTAATCCCTCAATATCAAGGGCAATTTAAATGTACAACATACAAAACAGAAGAAGGAATTAACAGGTGTCAAGTTACTGGTGTGCATCAGGAATTAGTAGGCAGTTTAGAAACATGGCTTATGTGGATATTATCGTCATCATTTAAAAACGAAAACCCTGAGATCGAGAGAAGAAACCTGTCCAAGGTCAGAGAGCTAGAAAACGGAAGAGGTTAGTGAGGTTGGAACTTAAAGCTATTCAGTGGCAGCTGCTGTGGTCTTTCACTACGCTACAAAACGGCTTAACTGGGCTGAGCAATGAATCTCAGCTTCATTGTAATCAGCCCCAGTGTGGCAGTTCTTACTAATTTCAGAGGAAAAAGGGGTGAGGAGGAGTGAGAAGACGGAGGAGGATCCTACATGGTAGTTAATATTTCAGCTTCAACTTGACTTCGTAGGTCAGAGCTTACAAGCCTTCTACACATTTTACTTGAAGATTCCTCAAAGAGATTTTGATGTGAAGGCAGAATTTTTAAACATTCATTCTTTCAACAAACACAAAGACTAAGTATTCATTCATTAAATAGTGATATGACAATTCTCAGGAGACCTTCCTGGCCACCCGCTATAAAATGGAATCCCAATTCTTATCTTTGCTCTTCTACTTATATTTTACTTTGTTATAACACACACAGAGATGCAAATTTATAAATTTATTAATAAATTTCCTTTACATCCTTTATTTATTGTCATCTCAGTATACCAAAAATGGAAGCTCTCCTTTGACATGGAATTCTAGGCTGTTTTGTTGTCACTGTTCTCTAGAAGCTGGAAGAGTCTAGAGTATAGAAGCTCCTCTGAACATTTGTTCAATAAATGAGTTCATTCACTAAAAGCTGAGGTTACAGCAGTGTACATGAACTGACCAATTTTCAGACACGTATGCCAAGTTTTCAAGATAGACTGAGGCTCTTTTTAAGTCTCATTACTCCATACTATCTGAATTTGTTAACTACCTCCTTCAGTTATTCATTCCATCATTTAACAAGCATTTACTGTGTACCTATGGTATGCCAGGCAGTGTTCGGTGCTTGGATTCCAGTTGTGAACAAAATAGGCAAAATCCATGAAGCTTACGTACTGGTGGAGAAAACCAACAAATAAACCAAAATATACCTTTTCTAATGTTAGGTAGTCATAAAAGCTATGATATCAACCAGAGGAAGGAGAGATTGTGATTACACAAAGGCAGGAAGGGAGAGCCCATTCAGTGCAGGGCCAGGGAAGGCACTTCTGGGGAGGTGAAGCTGTCAACAAATATGCTTATACAAACTAGGAGAGGATTTGGGGTCAGCAGGGCAGTGGCAAAGTCCTGCCCCAAATGGGGCAAAACATTTCTCACGGCCCAAACATTTCTCATCTGCAATCTTCAGCTTCCTCACTTTATGCAGTAAGAATAATAATACTTGCCCTGCCTACCTTGCAAAATAGGCCTGCTGTGACCAGCAGCGAAATATCCCATTTTTCTCACCCAATATATTAAGGGGTGGTATTACAGGATTTCTATGATCTCTTCCCGTTCTAATTTGCTAAGATTCTAATGGTATGAAAGAGCTCTGTAAACTCTAATTTGCTGCACAAATGTATGAGATAATGGTCAGCACAATTGTGACTTTTATCATTATTCCAATGATCCACTTTGGTTCCAGGGTTCAGAGCCCCCAGCATCAAAGCACTCTTCAGCCTCATTTATATTTAAGTGATTTCAAGATCTCATTGAAAATGTAAGTTGAATGGTAATTTCATTCCTAGAGATGTTTTGTTGTCCAAGCCATAATTTAAATGCCCATCCTAAATTCTGCTAATTATCAGCACTAATGAAAGACTGAAATGGCATAGCTAATCCAAAGGCCTATTCTAATTTGGTTTTAGGCTGTATTTCAAGATTTTTTTTTTAAGCGGCAGATTTGTCTTCCCAATAGTACTGTGGCTAAGTTACTGCTAAAAGGAGCAAGTGCACAGTAGGCAAGAGATGTCAGGTAAGATGAGGGGGTTACTACACTGCTGTTTAGGGATGAGCTTTGGGGTTCCATCACCCCTCTAAAACTGTAAGAAAATTCATTTACTTTCATTCTAACCTCAAGAAAATGAATTAAACTTGAAACTTTCCAGGTTCCTTTCTAGGTGGAATAGTTGGCTCTTTGATCATCATGACCTGGAACTATCAACAAGGGTATTTGAGCAGCACAGGAATATAAATTTACCTCGAATAACATATCAGCATGAGCCTGAAGGAGACAAAATTGTATTCAAAACTTGCCGAGTGTTTCCTATATACCAGGCAAGTTGCTGAGAGATAGGAATCCACAGAGGAGCAAACACTTGTCCCTGCCCCTAGAGGCTCACTATCTGCTGTAGGAGACAGATCACTGATAAAGCAAGTCCACTAAATTTTCACAGGGGCTAAAACAGAGCTGTGAACAGGATAGAGGGAGGGCCAAAAGAGAGAGGGTGGTTTTATCAGAGTTTAGAAGGCAAGTCTTCATGTTAAAGGTGACCCTTGAGCTATAAAAAATAAATGGTTGCCAAATATTCATAAGGTAGCTGAAAAGCAAAAACTGGTATTTAGTGTCAGGCCCAGTACCAGATGCTAACTGTGTTTAATTTAATCTCTAAAGCACCCAGTACATTTATCATCCCCGTTGTACAGATGAAATAACTGAGGCACAGTTATGTATACATCATCTGTTCAGTAACTCTCCCCATTTCACTCATCTTGCCAGAGTCAGGAATGAAAACCAATTTTCCCTCAATGAAGCCAACTAGAATGCCTCTTCTCCCCTCTACGAGAACCTTCATGATGTTCTCAGTATCTAACCTGCAGCCAACTACCTTCTGCCTGACTCTAACCAACTACACAAAGTCTGAGCCATGTCACTTAGCTCCACTGGAAATGCCTCCCTTGTCTAGCCCTCTACACGTGGTTTTGGTTCTTTTATTTCTCCAACAAGACTCCAAAGTTCTCCAAGAAAGAAGCCATATGTGCCCTTGACCCAGCCTTTAACTCTGCCCAGACACCATGCTCCTCCCACAGAAGTAAGAGGTGGGTCCAGCCATCTGTAGGGAAGGTAATAAGAACCAACATAAAATTCAAGCCCATTTCCTTCCCAACTGGCAATGGAACAAAAAACCTTCCACCTCTCATTCTAAAGCCCACTGAACATTCATTTCCCTCACTGAAAGTAAGTCCCAGGCAAGTAATCCCAATAGCTCCTGACTTTCTAAAAAGGGTGGGGCTTTCTTCATCCTGTTTGTAATAACTCGTCCTGTGACCCTGAGTAATTCAACACAGCCCACTTTTGTTTCATTGTTCTTCTCTTTCAACTCTCCTTCATGCTTGAATTAGGATATTTTCCATCCCAAACCATCAGGCACTGGTAGTGATTTCTAAGCACTTCTCTTTAACCTTGCTTTTGTAAAATGCCCACTGTATTCTGGGTAAGAAGAGATTTTTTTGGTGTGTGTGTGTGGCAGGGTCCTTAGCACCCACGCTGACTGAGTATCATACATTTAGCCTTTAATTTTCAGACAATAAGTTTCCTCCACTACACTCGAAGCCATATTTATAAAACATGGAAAGCTGTAGTATCTTTTCTCCAAATAAGTAAGGGAAAAAAAAGGAAGCTCTCTGACGAAGGTCATCGGGATTTTGAAATGTTTGAAAATAATCTCTTTTCCATGAATGCACAAACTATCATATTTCCCCTGCTATTGAATGACATTTTTCAGGACTGATGATTAACATACAGCCTACCATGTAGGCACCTTCAAGGAAAAAGCAGCCTGCATTATTCCAGTATCTGTGGAGGAATTTTGCATTAGGTACACATGACAGTGAGAATTTCCCCTCCTAGCGGGGGAAATCAAAATAAAGATCCGGACAGAAACTAATTATACTCATTGGCAGTTTGTCCAAGGATAGCTACAAAAGAATATCTTTTTATGTGACTAAAATACTGATTGTAGCCTCCTCTTTACCTCAATAATTATGTCTGCAGAATCTCACCATCAAGTGGCCATCCTGACATAGACACATTTATTCCTGGGCAAGAAATGAGAAGCACAAACTACTTCATTTCTATGGCAGTAAAGCATTGCAATTGGCACAGATATTTATAAATAGATTTGATTTCTCAAATGGCCACATTGCCAATAGCCCAGGGTTCTTCCTACTAGCCCATGCTGGCACATCATCCTGAAAAGTTGCTCTGATCAACTATCCTTAATAGAGAATGTACCACATGCTGAGCTCTGTGATAAGTTAAATATGTACCAAGTCATTTCATCTTCAAGTGATTTATAATGCAGACACAATTTTTATCCTCATTTTTTGTTCTTTTTAAAAATGAGGACACTGATACAAAGAATTTGAAGTATTGGCCTTAGATCCCACCAGCTTTTACGTGGTGTAGCTAGGATTTGAACACATACCTGTTTGACTCCTTTTCTGTCTACTACTCCTTTACTTACCAATATCATCTACCAACAAGAATTGACCACCCTAGTAGGTTCAAAGCTGTGTAGTAACAAACCATATGCTAATGCTTGCATGTTCATGGTAAATGTTTAGTGACAGGAGATCAGGAAAAGCATATCCTGCTCCCACTTGGCCCCGACTGCTGAATGGAATGAGCTCCCTCTGTATTTAGATCCACTTTGCTGGGCGCTACTCAGGGAGAGAAGCAATAATTACAAGTTCCTGACTGGCTGACCCAATCAAAAGCATGCCCATACCTCTGACTGGCACCAAAAAGGGACAAAGAGCTTGAGAATGAAAGAGAAGTAAATGCCAATTTCCAGTTGGATTCACACAAAGTCACAACAGCTGGCTTCAAGTGTCTTCAAAAAAAAAATAGCTATTCAAGTCACATGCCCAAACACTAAGATAAAATGAATGTCTGCTTAATGAAAGACTACGGTGAACTTTGCTAACCACAGCCTGTGCGTTTGTAAGATGAGTCTATATATCTGGCTCATACAGAATTTACCAGAGATATACTGAGCACGCAGTGTTAGGAGCTACAAATTTAGAAATAAATAAGAAGAGGCCCCTGACCTCAAAGGGTTCGAATGAAACAGAAGAGAGAGACACATTGAGGTAGTCACACCAGCAACTCACTTCTTACATACTAGCCATGGGCTGGGCACTGTGCCACTTGTTTCATGTCCATTATCCACTTAATGTTATGAAGAGATGCACTATTATCTGCAGTCTACAAATGAGAAAATTGTGGTTCAAATCGTTGAGTCACTTGTTCAAGTTTCAAAAACTAGGGAGTGACAGAACTGGAACTCAAATCTAGGTTTTGCAGACTCCAAAGACTTGATCTTTAAACACTATGCTATACTGGTTCCCTGCTCAGAAATAAATCTACCACATTTCAGCACTGTAAGGACAACACAGAAGTAGGCACAAGTCCAAGAGGAGACACCAAAAAGAACGGAAGTCATTTGGGGGTATGAAGGAAAGGCATGTCTTCGACCTTCACAGGGCTGTATCAGGTTTTGAAACACACATGTAAGTTCATCAAGGAAACAAAGGAGGGGAGTTGAACATTCAAGTCAGGAAGAACTCAGAATTCCAGAGGCACAAACGAGCACAGCCCACTAAGACCCACTAAGAATTGCTGCAAGCAATTCTGTACAGTAATTGTATAAGGTGATATTAAGGATAGGGATAACAAGTTGGTTGCAGATGTAGGCAGGGAAGGGACTAAAGGGTAATACACATAGGGTTGTGTGTGTGTGTGAACATTACACACACAAGCATGCATGCATGTGCGCATACACATCTTTCATGTGATTTTTCCAGAGCAGGGTGGACCCCTGGTGTGAGTGAAAGCAAGCAGAACTCAGCTAAGGCCATCATTGACTTTCATGGGGCCAATCAGTTGCAAACATCCCAGTCTCCTGACAATGAATTTGGATAAAACACCCACACATGTTTATTTGTCATTTCTCCCTGCTCAGAAATAACTACCCAACTACTTAGCATGTAAAATGTGGTGTGTTTTGCACCTGTCATTTTCTAGGAGGCCTAGCTATAGTCAGAAAGAAAATGAAGCAAAGTAGAGAAACAATCAAAACTAAATGCAAAACATGAATACCTATAATCCCTTTACATGAAAGAAAAACATTAGATGTGAACCCCCAAAATGACTGCATTTCCAAATCAAAGAAGGAAGAAAACATATACCTGGCTGACTTTGTTCCATCCAACAAGACACAAGCATGACAAGATGGAAAAAGGATCAGAAGAAGTGTCAAGAGTATTATGAATGAGACTCCATTAAGCTGCTGAGTCACTATATGACTTGGAGTACACCATTTAATCCTTCTAAGCCTCAGTTTATCATCTGGAAATGGGTACAAGAATATACCTAATGCCATGTTTCTGATAATGATTAAATTGAAAAATGCATATAAAGTACTTAAGTACAGTAGATGACAAATAGTACTTACAGCAACTTGAAAATTTGTTCATATAATCTAAAACTACTTTTACCCAAAATATGTTTTTTAAATGTTGGACGAATTTTGGCTTGAAGAGGTATACCTAAGTTCAAAAGCTTGCATATTTCTAATGCTACCAACAGCAGCTCTAGTTTACTGAGCACTTGCTATAATTCCTTGTATTGACTTCACAACCACTCTATGGCATAAGTACTATTATCACCTCCATTTTACAGACCAAGAAACCAAGGCATAGAAATTTAAAAATTTGTCTAAAGATACACAGAAAGAAACTGAAGGAGTAAGATTTGAACCCACACATTCTAGTAATTTGGAACATTTCCTGAAGAATATTTTTAGAATTAATTTCTCCTAGGGTATGACATTTAATTTTTGGTGTCAATTTGGAGGGTGTTTTTGGATGAGATTGACATTTGAATCAGTAGATTTTGAATAAAGTTGATTACCCTCAATCAATAATAATTGATGATTATTTGTGGGTGAGCTTCCTCAAATAAGATGAAGGCCTGAACAGAACAAATAGACCAGCAGCCCCAAACAAGAGAGAATCAAACAAGAGAGAACAGTCCAAGAGACCGCCTTTAGAATTCATCCGCACTGTTGGCTCTCCTGAGTTTCAAGGCTGCTGGCCTAAGCTGCAGGTTTTGGACTTGCCAGACTCTGTAATCATATGAGCCAATTCCTTATAATAAATATTTTTCCATGTATACATATTTTCCATATATATATATTTTTTTCCATACACACACACACACACACACACACACACACACACACATCCTATTGGTTCTGTATCTCTAGAGAAACCTGACTAATACATAGCACTTTTCAGTTTTGTCTTCCACCAACTTTCATTATCTTTTCAACTCAATTTATTCAGCAGATATTCACTGAGTGCTCCACATGACCCAGACACCATGCTAGACCTGATTACACGGTTGAGATACTCTCTCTGTCCTCAAGGAGGATATGGCTGTTCCGTCCTATTCTGCCTATGGTTTTCCATTCCTTGTTAGTCCATCCACCTCCTTTCTGGATTACGAGATCCTTGAGATGAATGGCAAGTCTTTTGTACAACATCAAGTACAGAGCTTCCAATAGACAACAGAGTAAATGCCCATCAATGTTGGTGAAATAAATATCATTTGTGCTTGCCATGGCTTCGATTTTTGTCGTTTGCTGAGTATGTGCAAGGTCACATGCTGGACCTCAGCATTCACTTCTATCTCATTTTGTCTCAATTTTAAGCAACAGAAGAAAGGGAGATGCCAGGAAGTTAGGTAGCCTGCCTGAGGTCATACTGAGTTATTCACGCTTAGGTCTGCCTGAGTCTAAAGCTGGTGGACTTCTCCACGTTGCTTTTGCTACAGCTCCCTGCTCCTCCCCCTTCCACACTGTGAATAACAGATGAGGCCTGGGATGGATGAGTGTCCCCAGAGCCCCAGGGCCTTCAGCCAAACTTCATACACATACAACTTCATAGCTTGCATGAGGCGAAGTATAAAAATGAAGGCAGCCGGATGTTATCTATAAACACCTCAAAGCTTCTTTTCCTTTCACTTAAAAATTCTCTAGTAATTGTTTTTACTGCAGTTAATCATAAAAATGAATCACCTCAAATTTTTGAAAGGAATTCTCCTTCAAAACCTGTCAACTTTGTGCCATGAATTCATTTATTATGAGACCACATGATGCCTCCAAGTACTGCATTTTATTTAAACGTGACATTTTTTCACTCTGTTTTGATTTCACATCTGAAAATCGCTTCTATCAATCTTTCATTGGAGCCAAACATAACTATTTTGCTCACTGAAACATTACATACAGACTCAGGGTCCTAGAATCAAATTAAAAAATAAAAATAAAGTAGTATCTGGCTGACATTCCTAGCATCATATCCAGAGAGACCACAGATTTGAGAGCTGCCTTGAACCTACTTCCAAGATAAAAATCAATCAATCCTAATCCTTTTGGACCTTAGATCACTTCAAAAATCTAAAGACTTTATGTGGGTTGACTTTTCTTTTTGTGATTCAATTTTGGAAATTGTTTACTATTCTGATTTGAAAGTAGTATGACATCTTCAATGAAATTGCCAGACTCAGTTAGGGAATTGATCATGATCAATGATTTTCCACATCAGTTGCTGTTGGGTTGAGGGTGGGGGGTTAGGATGTACGCTATACACTTACATTCCCCACAATGCATCATTCTCTTTCTAAACAGTGGCAGCAAACAGGCACATCCAATATTGTACTACTTTCTTCTTTCATTCATGATGGTGTTCCACATGGGTCCTGAGAGTCTGAAAAAGGAAGCAATCTCTAGTTCTGTAGATGAAGGGAACCCTGAGCAATCCATCATGCTTTGTCTGCTAATGTTAGACTCATGCATAAGAGCTACCATAACTGGAGACAGGCAGCAGGCATGAAAAGGAGTGAATCAACTGTCAATGGTTGGGATCTGAAGGACTGCAAGCTGTGATTAAAATATCCCATCAGGACTTCCAGGATTTATCATGCTACTGGGAAAAGGGGTGCCATGAGAGAAATGTGTACAGGCATTTTCCTCCATCAGCCCTGTCTTCTCCACGATTAGCAGAGTGAATTCCTAAGGGCCACCCAAAACTGAGTGTCTTCTTGGCCCAAAGAAAGAAACTTTAGAAGATCTCCTAAAGTGAGGTAGAGGCACACCAGGATGAAACAACTACACGTTCTTTTGCATGATGCTTAAATTAATGTCTCTAAGATACAATCTTGGTCAAAAACCTTTGATTTCTTCCTTCCCTCTTTCCCTCTTCCTTCTCTTTTTTCCTTTTCCCTTAGTTGTTTCATTCCTTTCTCCCTTCTTTTTCTTCCTAATTTCCTTCCTTCTTTATTAAATTCCTTTCCTTCCTGGCATACATTTTTTTTTCCATCCTTGGTTCTTACCTACCTACTTATCTATCTTCCTTCCTTCCTTCCATCCTCCCTTCCTTCCTTCCTTCCCTTCCTTCCTTCGTTCCTTCCTTCCTTCCTTCCGTCCTTCCGTCCTTCCTTCCACATTTATTAAGCACTTAGAGAGAAAATAATTCCCAGGTTGAAAAAGTCACAGTCTACTGGTAGAGGGTCACCTAACAGAGACAACCTTAATATAGTGTGAGATAAACACTAGTGCTATGGGGATAGAGTGGAGTTGGGGGTGGGGCATGAGTGTGAACAATGTTTAGAAAAGCTTCCTAGATGGTGAGAGTGGGTCACCAGCACAGGAAACAGCAGAGGCAAAAACATAAAGGCAAAAGATCGTGGTATTTCGTGGTATTTCATGGTATTTTCAAGAAAATGTAGGCAGGCCCGTGGACCTGAAGTATACTTTATTGGGAGTCATATGAAATGGGTCTGAAGAGGTAAACTGTTATGAAAAGCTTTGTACATAAGAATTTTATGAAGGCAATGGAGAGAAATAATAGGCTTTAAGCAGAAGTGGTAGTGGTAACTAGCTTTTTTGTTAAACCTCAATAAACACACACACACACACACACACACACACACACACACACACACACACAAAATGTCCTCTAAGCATGCTATTTTAAATTGCAACCTAATTCACTAGTTTTTCCTCTTCCCTACTTTATTCTTCTGTCGCCCTTATCACATTTAGTTCCAGATTTCCTTATTAATTTTATTTATTGTCTATTTGCCTCCACTGAAACATAAGCTCCATGAAAGCAGAGATTTGGAGTTTGTTCAGTGCTATATTCCTTGCACCTAGAGCAGTGTTTAGCACATAGTAGTCAGTGAATGTTGTTGAGTGCTAAGACAGTAAAACTCAATTTCACTGCTTTTGCTACAGCTCCCTGCTCCTTTTCAAAGACAGTAAAACTCAATTACCTCAACATTTTATTGGAAGAAAAGCCCTTGCCTTTAAAGTGGACACATGACTTAAACTTGCTCAGTTCAATCCTCTGATCTGTAGCATGCAGGTAAAATACCTACTATAAGAGTAATTACAATAAAAAGTTATGTCAAGAACTTAGAATAGCAACTGACATATAGAGCAAGTCCTCAATAAACTTCAACTGTTGTTTTATGCTTTTGATGATATCACATTTATTTCCACTCCTTGGGAAGCTCCTGAGGACAAGAACTGGGTCTTGGTCATCCAGCACATATCAGGGGCACAACAAATGGCTTCTCTCATGGAATCTGGTCCAACAATCTGACATGCTCTCTCATCAGTTCAGAAAATAAATAATCTCCCTAGGATATTTCTAAGTATTGCAACAAACTCCATTCAGACAGAAAAAAGTCTTGAAAATATAATGTGCTTTTCAAACGATGCAGTTTGTAGGAACAAAGCTCAGCTGTGGCCAAATGAAGGTCCTAAAGCCATGTGTCCTTACTTCTTTGGGGGACTGATACCATCCTACAGCTACCACAGCAACTTATAATACTGCTTGGAAATTAACTGCCTCTCGCAATAGACCACATGCATCTTAAGAGAAGAAAGCCACCACCGGAGAAGCAGTACTGGGTAGTGGTTAACAGCTTGTGATGTGCCACTCTGCCACTTTTAAGCCATGTGGCTTTAAGAGACTTACTTTAATCCCTTTGTGCTTCAACTATACATTGGAAACAATAATGACCCTATCCTATAGGGTCACTGCATGGATTAACTAAGTTCATCCTGTGAAGTCATTAGAACAGTGCCTGGCACACAGTACATGTTCAACACATGTTATATTTTATCACCAATACACTCTAGCACATAATAGGTGTCCAAACAATGATTACTGAATTGACAATTTAACATAAACACATCAGAATTTCCTCTCGTTTGATCACTGAAAATGACAGGAAAGGAGTTTGCTTATACTCAACCCCTATTCCTGCTCAGAGAAATGTAAAAAAAATAATACTGACAACAACTGAAAAGGCTCTGTCCCTTCCTGGTTATATGATCTGATGCATAACCTTTAACTGTAGAACCTCAATTTCTTCACCTGTAAAACTCACCTATCTCCCAGGGTTGCTCTGTGGCTTGACAAAATAATATCTGGTCTGGTGCTTTACCAACCCCATAGTACTATAAAATATAAGTGGTTTCTTCAATTTCTTTTATCACTGATTTATGGTTTTCATTGTAGAGATCTTCACCTTCTTCCTTTTTTTTTTTTTTTTTGGTAGCTATTGTAAATGGGATTGTTTTCTTTGTTTCTTTTTCAGATAGTTCACTATTAGCATGTGAATTTGTCATGCTGCTACGAAGAAATACCTGAGAGTGGGTAATTTAGGAAGAAAAGAGGTTTAATTGACTCAGTTCTGCATGGCTGAGAAGGCCTCAGGAAACTTACAATCATGGTGAAAGAGGAAGCAAACACATCCTTCTCACGTGGCGGCAGGAGAGAGAAATGCCAAGCAAAAGGGGGAAATCCCCTTATAAAACCATCTCATGAGAACTCACTCACTATCATGAGAGTACTGCATGGGGGTAACCATCCCCATGATTCAATTACCTCCCACCAGATCCCTCCCCGAACACATGGGGATTACGGGAACTACAATTCAAGATAAGATTTGGGTGGAGACACAGGCAAACCGTATTAGCACGGAAAAACACTATTGATTTTCATATGTTGATTTTGTATCCTGCAACTCTACTGAAATTGTTTATTAGCTCTAACAGTTTTTTGGTAGAGTCTTTAGGGTTTTCTATATATAAGATCATGTCATTTGCAAAGAGGGACAATTTAACTTCTTCCTTTTTACTTTGAATGCCTTTTCTTTCTTTCTCTTCACTAATTGCTCTGGCTGGGACTTCTAGCACTATGCTGAACAGAAGTGGTGAAAGTGGGCATTCTTGTCTTGTTCCAAATCTTGGGGAAACACTTTCAACTTTTCCTCATTTATTATTATATTAGTTGCGGGTCCTTCTTATATGGCCTTTATTGTGTTGAGGTATATTTCTTCCATACCTAATTTGTTGAGAGCTTTTATTATAAAGAGATGTTACATTTTGTCAAATGCTTTTTGTGCATCTATTGAAATGATCATAAGGTTTTTGTCTTCATTCTGTTACAGTGGTGTATCACATTTATTGTTTTGTGTGATGAAAAGAATAAAGAATTGAAGACACAAATAAATGAAAAGACATCCCATGTTTAAGGACTGGAAGAATAAATGTTGTTAAAATGACCATACTATCCAAAGCAGTCTACAGATTCAATGTAACCCTTACTGGAAACATTCTTCACAGAAATAGAAAAAAAAAATCTTAAAATTCTTATGGAACCACAAAAGAGCCCAAATAGCCAAAACAATCTTGAGTTAAAAGAACAAAACTGGAGGCATCACACTACCTGACTTCAAAATATACTACAAAGCTACAGTAACCAAAACAGCATGGTACTGGCATAAAAACAGACACATAGACCAATAGAACAGAATAGAGAGCTCAGAAATAAATCCATGCATTTATAGCCAACTTCTTTTCAACAAAGAAGCCAAGAACACACAGTCTCTTCAATAAATGGTGTTGGGAAAACTGGATATCCTCATGCAGAAAAATAAAATTTACTTCTCACCATATACAAAAATAAACAGATTAAGGATTTAAATATATTAATCAAAACTACAAAACTACTAGAAGAAAATATATAAGAAAAGCTCCATGACACTGGATTCGGCAAGGACTTTTTGGATAAGATCTCAAGAGCATAGGTAACGAATAGACAAATGAGATTACATCAATCTAAAAAGCTGCTGCACAGCAAACAAACCAATCAACAGAGTGAAGAGACTACCCACAGAATGAGAGAACATATTTACAAACTATATATCTGATAAGAGGTTAATATCCAAAATATATAGGGAACTCAAACAACTCAATAGCAAAAACAGAAAAACTGACTAACAAATTGTTAAAAGACTGAATAAACATCTCTCAAAAGAAGATACACAAATGGCTAACAGGTATATGAAAAAAATGCTCAATATCACTAATCATCAGTGAAATGCAAATCAAAACCACAATAAGATATCCCCCTACCCCAGTTAGAATGTCTGCTATCAAAAATAAAAATAAGAAGTATTGGCAAGGATATAGAGAAATGGCAACCCCTATACACAGGTGATGGAAATGTAGATTAGTACAGCCATTGTGGAAAACAGTATGGGGGTTCCTTAAAAACTTAAAAATAGAACTACCATATGATCCAGCAATCTCACCACTGGAATTATATGCAAAGGAAATGAAATCAGTATGTTGAAGAGATATCCACACACCCATGTTTATAGCAATACATTTATAATAGCCAAGATACGGAGACAACCTAAGTGTCCATCAAGGATAAATAAATAAAGAAAATGTGGTATATACACAATGTAATACTATTCAGCCATAAAAAAGAATGAAATCCTGCCATTTGTGACAAGATGGATTGACCTGCAGGACATCATGTTAAGTGAAATAAGCCAGGCACAGAAAGACAAATATTATATCCCCTCACTAACATGTGGAATCTAAAAGAGTTGATCTCATAGAAGTAGAGAGTAGAATGGTGGCTACCAGAGGCTGGTGTGCTTGGGAGTGGGGGAAGGATGGGGCAATATTGGTCAAATTATACATAATCACAGTTAGATAGGAGGAACAAATGTTAAGAGATCCACTATACAGCAAGGTGACTATAGTTAATAACAATAAATTGTATTCTTGAAAAATGCAGAGTTGATATTATGCACTCTCACCAAGTATGCAAGGTAATGCATTTGTTCATTAGCTAGACTTAACAATTTCACAATGTGTATACACTTCATAACAACATGCAGTACGTGATTAAAATACGCAATGTTAGCTGTCAATTTTAAACTAATTAATTAATTAAAATTTGAAAAAAAAATTTAAACTCCAAAAAGTACTAGGCGGTATTACAAACAGAAAAAACCCAGCCACTTGTCAAAAGGAGGGGTTAAAACAAACTGCCCATCAGACTACTTTATCTTCTTACATTTGTGCAAAATTAAAATGACTCTTTGCAGAATCCAATTTGGATAAGCCCATGTCAATACTACTCATACAAGCCATCACTAATGACAAGATTGATAGCTCAGGAGGGCAAGTCATTTCATGTTCACTGTGCATCATGTTTAATTCGCCAAAAGGAGTTTGTGTGTATAATTAATGTGCTTTTCTTCCTGCCTTCATTTGGAAACATGTAAAGGGTCTCTAGGGAATTCTGTAAGTTAGAAACAATTAATAAAATAAAATCACTTAATTAAAGAGAATAATTGGAGTCTATTTTCTACCATAAAATAAAGGGATAAAAATCACTTTGGAAACACATTGTACAAAAATTGCTTGAGTTTTAAAAGAAAGAACAATATGCAGACAGAACACATGTAAGTCATGATAGTGGACAGATTTCCCAGGCCCTTTGTTCTGGAATGATTGAAATCCAACTGACTTGACTTGTTTATGAAATACATGAGCACCGGCCCTTCAATAACAAGTCTCATTTTTTCTGGAGGAAAATTCTGTTTATCCATTATTTCAACGCACATTTACAATACTTTTTATATGTCGCCTATTATGTAAGGACCCATAGGTAAAAAGCAGCCCCTCCCGCAGCCTTCCAGAAATGTCCAGTCTAGTTAGGAGAGAGGCCCCCCTTTAACACACAATTAAAATGCAGAGAGATAAGCACTGTGAGGGAACAGAGGACACCACAGAACACTGAGAAATGGCATCCCTCCTAGCCTAAGAAAAACAAGTAAAGCTTTCAGACAAAAAAATAAAGAGCATTAGGTAGTATTGAAAGAAGAAACTGCAATTACAGATGTAATATCAAATACTGAGTCACAAATACATGAATGTACTCAGTGTCTGGATGAATGACATAAAACTCAGCATGTCCCAAGAAGACAGTCTATGTTTTAGAGCAGAAAGAGATGAAGCTGAAAATGAGAAAGAGCATGGACGTGGAATCAGATAACTAGCTCAGATCACATAAATATGACCACATATGTATGTAACATCTCTACACTTCAGTTTCCTCATATAAAAATGCAGTTCTAGGAGCAACCAGATGGTAACATATTGCATTATGGTTCCCAATATCTGTGTCCTTCCAATAAAAGGATTGTTCATCTGCATCCTTTGCCATGTCACTGCCAATATCTAAGGTAGATGGAGAATATTCTGTGCTCCATTGTCGGGTTTGCCATGAGACTTTTTTTTTTCCTTTGGCCACTGGAATATGAGTAGACATAATGTACACAAAACTGAGCAGAAACTGTATACATATGTCATTCAGTTAAGACTTCTGTATTTCTGCCCTCTGACATGAGAATCACATAGCCCAGATGGGGCTGCTCCCAGAGCCTGGATTTCTGGCATGAGCAGACTTTTGGAAGAGAACTAAACAGAGCTGCATCCGACCTGCAGAATTATTGAAATTCTGGGATATCTGTTACTACCACAGCAAAAATCACCAATACAGAGATAAATGAATAGCTCATAGTCTAAGAGGAAGACAAACAGGTAATGATACAACAATCAGAAGAGTATCATTATAAATATATGTATAAGATAGTATTGAAGAATTAATAACATATCTAAAGACACTTGTCCCATCTTAGGCATTTAATCAATTTTGGATTCCTTCACCTTAGACCTTTGAGGAAGAGGTAAAAGTCTCAGAGTTAAACAATTATATAGAAGGACATGTCGAAGAATGAATATATTAATTTGTTCCATATGAGATACCTGCCATCAGATTTAACTGAATATACCCCAGATTGGTTCTCATCCTTACCTTGGGCAAGTCCTTAACCTATGTGAACCTCAATTTTTCTCATCTGTAAATGAACAAAGAAACACTACCTACTTTGAACAGCAATTACAATAATTAGATTAAGCCATGTGGAGTCCTTAAAAGAGAGACTAACACACAACATGTGCTCAAAAAACGTAAATCATTGTTAGTATTTATTACTATTATTCAATAATTCTAAACTTTCTGCAATTTACTTAGGAGCATTACTCCTATACCTTCTCAGTGGCACCAACTACAAAACACCAATTTCTTTCATGTTTAACTATAAACTGATTAACCACTGATATGGTTGGAATGTTTTAAAGTTCATATATTGAATCCTAATTGCCAATGTGATGGTATTAGGGAGGTGGGGTCTTCTTGAGGTGATTAGGTCATGAGAGGTGAGCCCTAGTGAGTGGGATTAGTCCCCTTATAAAAGAGGCCTCAGAGAGCTGCCTTGCCCCTTCCACTGCAGAAGGACGCAACTTGAAGGCACTATCTTTAAACTACACAGCAGGCCTTCACCAGACACCTAATCTGTCAGCACCTGGATCCTGGACTTAAGTTGTTTATTAGCTACTCAGTTTATGGCATTTTGTCATAGCAGCCCCAATAGATTAAGACACCCACCCAAAATACACACACACAAGCACACAAACACACACATGCATGCACTACACATACAACATCTTTTATTCTTTACCGTTAGCACTTCCGTCACTATCTTTGAATAAGTAATAAGCAGAGTTGTTTTCAATTCTCTTGAAACCTTTCCATGAAAAGACAAAGAGATGAAATATTTGGACTAAATATAGTAAAACTCAAAAGATAGATTATTACTACTTTTCATTTCTTAGGTGAATTCCTTACAATGAATTTGCCCTGTAATTTCACAACTCCAAAATATTTGGTCAGATCACTAAAAAGAAACCCATCAAAGCCTTGGAAAGTTTATTTCTTCATAGGCAAATGGATCTATTTCTTTGTTTTCAAATGGTTAGTTGTGTTGGTTTACTGCCTTAGTGACTTTAACACCTAAGTCGGTGGTTCTTAAACTTTTGGGGGTTACAGACCCCTTTCATAGGACAGAAACCACGGACACTCTCTACAGACAAGTGCATGGCAAGAATTTGGAATCCTAGCTACATTCTCCTCTGTGGTTCTAGAGCTGAGAGATGAGAGAGAGGCATGTGAGTGAGGGACACCCGTGACATAGAATCGTTCCCAACTGCAGAGCACGGAGGCAGAGGCCGGAACAGATCTCTCCCAGAACACATTTCCAAATCCCATTAAATGGGGAGCAGGTGGGCCAACTGTGCCTCAATTCCCTACACTCAATTTCCTCATTGTAAAATGGTGATAATAATAGTTCTCACCTCATAGTGTTTTTGTGAAAACTAAATGAGATGATATATGGAAGGCGCTTGGCACATTCTAAGTTCTTAATAAATATTAGGGACTCCTCTCATTGTAGGATACAGGAGACTGAGACCCAGAAAAGGGAATAATGTACCCAAGATTGTACAGTCACTGGAAGGCAGGGAGAAATGCTGAGACGCCTCATGAAGAGAGCATACAGGGAACCAAGGGCTGGAGTTAACAAACCAGGACATCTAGAAATAAGAAGTGCTAAAATCAGCTGATATTTGTTTGTGGCTCAGCTGTTCCACTGCACCAGCTGCTCAGAACTTTCAGACATGCCCCAGCACAGCACAGAATCACCCCATCCTATATTCATTCCATCAGCCTCAAATCTAATTTCAGTCCTAGAGAGTTTTTTTAAAGGGACCTAAAATTGAATATCCATTCCTATTTATAGTAAAGGGATATTTCCTAAGAAAGTGCCTTGTAAGGATTCAGATTTCTTTCCTCAGCAGTTTTCTCCGTTGGCCATTTTGGGTCTATTTTGATTTTTTCCCTGGTTGAAACATGTCTCAGAGGCTCTCACTGCTGAAGAGGTAGAAGTTTATCACAGGTTCATGGCCATGGGGTATGCCTAGGGCTGGCATTAATGGGACAGGGCCCAAGAGAAGCGAGCACTGTCCCAACTTTGGGGATGGGGGCAAAAGGATCTCAACACTAAATGCAAGCATATTTCTAAGAGAGTATTAAAGAACCAGTCCAAATGAAAATTCCAAAATTAGAAAATCAATAGCAAGAGAAGTCATTTAAAATTAAACAAAACACTGTCAGACATGTGGTCTAGTCACAGAGATGAGCCATACTGGAACAAGAGACCTGGGTTACTGGCCCCACATTACCATTTACTAGCCGTGACACCTCAGGAATCACCCTGCTCTGCACGCAGGCAGAGGAAAGATATCAGATTAAATGATCTATAAAGACCTTTTCACTTGGAAAGATAAACTGAAAACTATACTTAGCATATATTAACATATTCAGCTTATATATAATAAGGGATAGAAGAATATTTGTAGCAATATATTTCATAATAGCAAAAAAACTGGATATTAGCCAAACATCCTCTATTACTAGATTAGAAAATAAATATATACACTCTTAGAAGGGAATACTACTAATAAACTGTATCGATATCAAGAAATCTTGAAAATACAATGATAATCAAAGTCACGAGAAGAAGTTACAATGTGATTCCACTTATATAAAGTTCAAAATCAGGCAAAATGAAAAGAAATAATAAATTGTTTAGGGATATATATATATGTATATATATATATATAGAGAGAGAAAGACCTTAAGGAAATAACACAAAATTCAGGTTAGAAGTTACCTGGGGAAGGGGTATCAGGATGCTATGAAGGAAAGGCCTTAGGTAGCTTCTAGAGTCTCATGACATTCTATTTCTTGGCTTGAGAAATGGGCACTGGGATTTTTATTATTATTGTTCATAAATCATCCACATACGCTATCATAGACTTTATATATATATATAAAGAATATATACGTATGAATATATACTTTGTATATATAGAATATATATAAGAATATATATTTTTTATTATGAAGTACAGAAAATATATATCTTCTTTATATATAAAGAATATATATAAATATATAAATATATATTTATGTTATATAAAAATATATAAACATATTTATATATTATATAAAGAATATATATAAATATATATTTATATATTATATAAAGAATACATAAACATATATTTATGTATTATATAAAGAATATATATAAATATATATTTATATATTATATATAATATATTTATATGTATTACATATAAATATATATAAAGAAGAATATATATATTCTGTACTTCACAATAAAACTATATATTCTTACATATAAAATAAAAAATGGGTTACACTGGGAAAATTAAAGAGTCTAAAGGGCCCTAATATTTTAAAAGGAAGGACTGCTATATTCCAACCAAATACATAATACAACATTAAACCCCATAACAGTTTGAAGACACAGGTAATAATATCTTCAGTGTGCAGATGAGGTTCTGAGCAGTTCAGTGAAGTGGAGAGGCCATGATTCAAGTGAGGTCTCTCGGACCACAAAATCCGTGTACTATCCACTCTACCAGGCTTTTCATAGACAGGCAAGTTTAATTACTCTCCCCACACTACAAAGAGGGAAAAAGTCTCAGAAAGAGATTGTGTCTTGCTAGAGGTTGCACAGACATTTATACGGGCAGAAGTAGATGATCTGACCCTAACATCCTGACACCTTCTAGTGTGTCTTGCTAAATCCCGTATACTGTAAGCAATGAGAAACTGGTATTTCATGCTAGTTCTAAAAGAGAGGAAATATACTAAGCCTCTCCAATTTTCCCCTTTTCAGTCTGGTTTGTGTGAGGTTGAGGACTATATCTCCTGATATATACAATAGTAGAAAGATGAGCGGAAAGCTAGGACTATGCAAATTGGTGGTCGGAATACAATTTTCCTGTCCAAATGTGTCCTGCTCTTTGCAGGACCAGCTTTAGCCAAGGACAATATGTGCAAATATGTTCATGCCTTCCTCCTTCAAGACCAAAACAGCAAAATGGCATTACTCCATATCATGATAGCTATGGATTTTCCCATTTAAATAGTGCTATTGTCTTTCCTGTTTATGAGTCCGTTTTACTTATCAGGAAATTTTAACCTACACATAAGCTACAAATATGCTTCCTTCCATTTTTGTTCCTTATTCTTAATTATGTAGTAAAATGCAACCCACCTACGTGAACAAGATGAGTAAAAGAAAGTAATAGCTAGATGCATTTTTCATTTTCCACATAACAATTTGTAAGTTGAGAGTCAGTAAGTCCCCTGGAGCAAACCATGCAGTGCTTCCCCAAGAGATGGAAGGGTTGGTTGTTGACATCTGTCACTGAATGTCAGAGCTGAGAGGGACACTAGGATTCCATCCCATTTTCTAGCACAGTGTTTCACACATGGCAGTGGCTTACTAAATGTTTGAAAAGTAAATAATAACTTTTAATGGCTAATACATATGTTAAAAGCTTATCATATACCAGATACTATTCTAAGAATTATACCTACAAAACTTAACTCATTTAATTTTTACAATAATCTCAAAAGATTGGTACTGTTATTATTCTGACCTTAAAGATAATGAAACTGAGGCTCAAAATGATTTAGCAACTTGCCTAATGTCACACAGCCAGCAAAGGACAGCTGGAATCCATGCTACTGGCTGCAGAGTTTATGTTTTTAACCTCCATGCTGTTCTGAATATCTCTTAGCAAAGCTGGAAAGAATGAAGCCCAGGAATGTAAACTGACTATATAAATCACACAAGGCCAGGCACAGTGGCTCACACCTATAATCCCGACACTTTGGGAGGCAGAGGCAGGTGGACCACTTTAGCCCAGGAGTTCGAGACCAGCCTGGGCAACACAGTGAGACCCTGTCTCCACAAAATAAAATAAAATAAAATAAAATAAAATAAAATAAAATAAAATAAAATAAAATAAAATAAAATAAAATAAAATAAATAAATTAGCCAGGCATGGTGCCATACATCTGTAATCCTAGTTACCTGGGAGGCTGACTTGGGAGGACCACTTCAGCCAGGGAGGCTGAGGCTGCAGTAAGCTGTGATGGCACTACTGCACTTCAGCCTGGGTAAAAGAGCATGACCCTGTCTCAAAAAAAACAAAAAAAAGTCACACAAAATGGTACTCTGAAAAAAGTAAGAGTTCGGAAGTCTGAAAGAAAGTTTCTAATCAGAGCTAGGTGCCTTTTTTGTCTGGGGACCTGAGCAACACACATTTCCAGAGACCTACTAGGTGTTGGAAACCAGTGACTCAAACACTGTAGTTTTGAGTTTCCATCTCCTCCTCTGTAAAATGAAGGCAGTAACATCTACCTCATCAGCTTGCAGTAAGAATCAATCAGCAAAGGGCAAATGCTCCCAAAATGGCAGCTATCGAAAGAAACCATGTAAGTTCAAGTCTAACCATCATACCAATGGCAGTGGCGACCTATCTGGAGCAGCCGTTGCCATCACGCTAGCTGCAGCAGTGTGGCTGCAGCAGGGAGGCAATGCCCAGGGTTCCACACTCCGTGGAGCTGGCAGGAGCTGGGGACAAGTGGGAGCACTGTCCCTTCTGAGTTGGTGGGGCAGGAACTCCCCACATGCAGCTGCAGCCACCCAAGTCATGGCTGCAGACCCAGGCCTCCTGTTCCATAGAGCAAGCAGGAACCCAGCCTTCCCAGGCACAGCTGCAGCCTCCCAAACTATGACTGCAGACCTGGGCCTCCCACTCCTCAGAGCAGGCAGAAGCACCTCCCTCCTGGGTGCAGCTGCAGCCGCCCAAACCACAGCTGTGGACCCAGGCATCCCTGCCCTCTTGGAGGCCCAGGAAGGCTTGGAAATACCTGCTCCCATGGCCTGGCTTCTTCCTGCTATTGGCACCTGCTCCCATCTTGAAGCAAAGTGGGGTGAGCCTGGGCACTGTCACAGCCCAGCCAGGTGTGCACACACTCAGGGCACTGTTGACATGTCAGGCCCCTGACACCTCAGCCCCCTTCTGGACTTTGAGCACTGATGAGGATAAGAGGGAAGCCGAAATGGGGCTGAGAGCAGCTCAGTGCTGGCCTGCAGGGGGCCCCTTGGCACCTACAGCCTGGGTGCCATGAACGGCAGCAGGAGGGAGACAGGTTCCTGGGCAAAAGGGGGCAGGTCCCTGGTGAGGCCCCACCTTCAGGCCAGGGAGGGGCTGAAGGATGGGGGCGGGGCTGCCAGTCCCACGAACCAGAGTGGGAACTTGTAGTGCCTCTTCTGGGCCCACCCATGGCCAACCATGGACCAATTGGCACCCACTTCTCTCTGAGGCCCATAAAAGCCCCAAGCTCAGCCAGAGCTGAGCAGACTTCTGGATGACCAGCTGCAGAGAGGAGCTACCCTCTCCAGGTCCTCCTCTCTGCGGAGTGCTCCAGAGATGATGGGACGACCTGCCTGCAGAGAGAAGGGCCTCCTCTCTGGTGAGAGCTGAACACTTGATGGGATGATCTTCCTCCAGAGAGGAGCTACCCACTGCAGGTCTCCTCTGAGCTGTTCTAACACTCAATAAAGCTCCTCTTCATCTTGCTCACCCTCCACTTGTCTGTATACCTCATTCTTCCTAGACACAGGACAAGAACTCAGGCAAAGGTGCCACTGGCCAACAAAGGTTTCCAGACAGAAAGGCGACACCTCAAAGATCCCATAAAAATACCATACTCCTGCCCTCCCACTGAATATGGGTAAACTTACCAAAGAGGTAATTTCACTTCCAACCTCCCAGACCTATCAAAACACATATACTAGAAACACTAAGAAAAAGGTCATAAATCAAGGTGGGATTCAAAAGATGTAGCTCAGGATTCTAGATAGGTAAGCATGACATTTGCTCCATTGTGGTGCCAGAAAATGCATAAAAGAATGCAAATCAAGGAGACAGGCAATAGTGCTTCATGGTTACAGCTTGAATGGTGGAGCTAGACTGATTCAGGGTTGCATCCTGCCTCCTCCACTTGCTAAGCAGCAAGGCAGGCAATCTCTCCAGGCCTAGGTCTTCATTTCTGCTATGGATGCTGTGAGGATTCATCACAGTGGCTAGGACATAGCAAGAGTTTAATCAATGAGAGTAAAAACCCAATAAACCATATAATGGGGAAGGACAGGAAGGAGATCCAACACTCCCTCAGGGGTTGATGCCCACGTAGTATCAAGATATACATTCAAGGGATTATCTAAAAAGTGGAAATTTAAAAGTCAGAAAAACATTTTTCCCTATAGGCCCAAGTGTTTTATATTCTTAATGAACATTTTCCTTTTTCAAATTTTGCCTTTCCACCATGAATATAAAAATGGCAGGTAAGAAATATGAGTGATACACACATATATATCCATGCATTGGCCTACAAAGTGGTTATAGAGGACGTTTTATGATGCAGAAAAAACAACTAACATTCTTGTAATGTCTATTTTCCTATAATTATATCAGCTCATTGAATCTTCAACAGTCTTGTACTCTCAGAGGTGGCACAACTTCTGAGCTTGGACTCTGGATTCAGGCTTGAGATGAAATCAAGGCTCTGCTAGGCACCTGCTAGGAAACCTCCTCCTCTAAAATGTGAAGGTCATGTTAATATCCAAGTAATTAACTCAAGGCCAGAGACCTAGTGCTCAAGAAAGGGTATATATGAGTACAATGAAAGTTAAGTGTTATAACGATCATCCTGATCTTAATCCATGAGGATAAGAGTATTGAGTGACTGAACCAAGATCATCCAGCTACGAAGTCACGTTGTTGGGTCTTAAATCAAGGCCTGTGCTCTGCCCTGGCATCATGCTAACTCTCTTCTTCCCAGTTCAGTATTTCTTCTCAGCCCTTGTCTTGAACAGCATTCTTCCTGCAATGACCATCACATTCCCCGGTATCACCTGTAACAGGAACCTTCACTGACAGTCCCCACCCACAGCCCAACCACACCACCTTATTTCTAATGCTGTACTCTACAGGCATTGTCTGCTTGTTTCTCAGTCTCCTCACTAAAAGGTGAGCTCCTGAGGGCAGCGGCCATGTATGCTGACTGCTGTCTTTTAACTCAACACAGAACAGCAGCTCAGGAAATATTTGCTAATGAATGATTGCAATAAAAGGGTGCAAAATAAGATAATAAGAAAGTTGCATGCCTTAGTGAAAAGATAACTGAATAGAGAAGAGACCTGGATTCAAGTTGCAGCTTTGCCAGTCACCGACTTTTTAAAAATTTCAACAGCACAGTTCTAATTCTCCAGACCACTGTTTACTCATAAAGTGAAATAAAAGAGTTGCACTTAACTATCTCTAGTTATCCAATTTAGGTCCAATGTTTTAGCAGTGTAGGAAAACCATCATCTATATGTGCATGTGAATCTGATATCTACTTTTATTGGGGTGAGGGAGAGAAAGAGAGAAAGAAAGGGAAAATGAGAAACAGATTTAAAAGACAAACAGAGAAAAAAAAAAAAACGTGTAACCCTGGAGTGATTTCATCTCCCAATAACTTATAGTTTCCTCGCATATAAATGGAGAAGGTTAAACTAGGGCAAATTTAGCATAGTTTTTTATTTTTAACTGAAGTGCCTTTTAATTCCACTTTCTTCCTAAGCCTTGAGTCCTGACCTAGAAATCCACTGTACCTTGTAAATATTTTTTATGGTCGTTTTAAAATTAACACAATTGTAGTGGTCAAAGCCTGGAAAATAAATTTAAATCTAAAGTTTAAAAAGTGATTTCAAATACTTTTCAATAACATTAAACTTCTGTGCTGCTTCAGCATAAATCTTGGGAATGGCTGCTGTCCCCTGACTTTTTTTATAACTTTAAACTCAGGCCTTCAAAATAGAGCCATCGCCCTAATTTTGGTCATAGCTCTGGCAGGGCAGCAAGGAGAGATCTGGGAATAAGTAGCGGCTATATGCACAGCTGTGGTGACCTGGAAATTTAAAACAAAACGATCCATTTCCTGCTGAACCATAACATTCTCCTTCTCACTAGTGTGGATTCAGAAAGACCAGACGGGGGACCTGGACAACCGAGGCATGGAGACTGAATTTCAAACGAGGCAAAGTAAATAGACCTTGCAGGGTGGCCACCGTCGAGTATCCCACATCCAACTCACTGACTGTTGAAATCGCCACAAAAACACATGTCTGATGGCATATGGCCATGGGTGTTCTGTTAATTTATCATTTCAATGTACTTTTTATGTGCCAGGTAGCCGTTCAGCCAATACCAATTCAATGTCTGATCTGTGCGCATTACTATTCAGACACTGGGATATAAAAGAGTAATATTTAGTAAGTTTTTAATGGAACTATGTGAATACATACAACTCATATTTATATATACATTTATGGAAGCGTCTAATGACAGGTGATTTATTTCTCTTATTCACCCACTCAATATTTACTGGGGCTCTATGACTTGCCTGGCAGTACTAGGCCATGGGGAAACAAAACTCACAGCCCTGCTCTCAGGACTCACTCTACAGGGGAAGTCAATATAGGAACAAGTATTTGTAGTGCTCAGGTTTGCATCTACATCTTGTTTTAAACTCTCAGAGATTCACTTCATTTTGTATGTAGAACATTGAAGATCTTTGTTTGGCCACCACTTTAAGGCAGTGATTCTCAACCAGGGGCTACTTTACACCCCAGGGGACAATGTTTTGAGACATTTTTGATTGTCACTTGTGATGTGGGGAGGTGCTACTGAAATCTACTGGGTAGAGGCCAGGGATGCTACTAAACATCCTACAATGCATAGCAAAGAACTATCTGGCACAAAATGTCAATACTACTGAAACGGAGAAATCCTGCTTAAGGTATGTTTGACTATTTTTAAAGCATCAGGTCAAACTTTAAAACTCAAGAATATTTACAGAATTAGAAAATTTAGCAGAGAGGCCTGTGGTTCCTTTTTCTAAGAAAAAGTCTACAGAATCGAAGACAAATTATTCAATTGGATTTGCACGGAAATAATAAACATTCGCAGGAATGCATTAATGTCTCCCTTACCCAAGAGCAAACTCATAGACATTTACAAATTATGACAATTTCTCTATAGACACCATAAACTGGTGTGTTTAATACCTCCTGATTCACAAGGGAGAGAATGGTGCCCAAGTCTGCCTTTGGATTTCCACCTTGTGGGGCCCGCTATTTAAGACCTTACATCTTCCAGTTACAAGAAGAACTTATCTCCAGAAAGACACATGGGACCTGAGGCCTAATTCAAGATTTCAGGAAAGCTGTAACTCAGGCATCAGACAATCAATATTCCAATTTGGAATTTAGCACTTTGGAGCCTGCATGTTCAGAAACACACATAAAGGATCTGCTTATGATTGAGGCCCAACTCATATTTATAATATAATCACCTAATAAAAACGGTAATGACCTCTGGCTGACTTTACACAGCATGTTTTGGCACACAAGCTCCATAAAAGGATTTTCACAGACCTTGCCTTCAAGAAAATACATCTAAGCTCCTGTTTTTTTTTCTATCGAGGCTGAAGAGCTTTTTAAAAATGCCATTTTGCTTTCAGAGTGCCTACATACACAATATGTACAGTAGATTATCTTATAATAGTATGATATTTTCCTCAAGAACTCTTTCTGTTTATACACATGGCCTTTAAGATGAATATATGATACACTTCTCGGAGTATCCACTTTACAAGCAAAAAATGACTTCTCTCTCCTTCCATGTCTACCTTAAAGAAATAAAGCAAGTCTGAGCATGGTGGCTCATGCCTATAATCCCAGCACTTTGGGAGGCCGAGGTGAGAGGATCATTTGAGTCCAGGAGTTTGAGACCAGCCTGAGCAACAGAGTGAGACTACGTCTCTAGAAAAAAAAAAAAATCCAAAAATTAGCTGGGCATGGTGGCATGCACCTGTAGTCTCAGCTACTCTGGGAGGCTGAGGTAAGAGGATCCCATGAGCCTGGGAGTTCGAGGCTGCAGCGAGCTGTGCTTGTGACACTGTCCACTCCAGCTTGGGTGTGACAGAACAAGACCCTGTCTCAAAATAAATTAAAAAGAATGAAAGAAAGAAATGAAGATGTCAGTTCATTGGAATCCTTAGGTGCTGGTTTGTTGGATCCATCCCTCTATCTCTTCTGACTGGTTCTGTGACCTCTTAATGATGCTCAGTGGTGGTTAAATTTTAACAACACATAACGGGGCTGATAGGCCAAGTGTTCAGTTAACAGCAAATAAAGTTCTCTAGAAGAAAGAAAAATGTGTGTGCACGTGTGTGTGTATGCCTATTGTGTTTAACAGAAGGAGTGCTTGTACAGCCCCCTACCTGCCCCCTCAAAGGCACCATTGGAAAGCATTTGTATTTAATGGGAAATAAAAGAGAATCATGCATTGCAGTTACAAGTGCAAAACAGGGAGGAGTGGTATAAAGAGATCTCATCTCTATAAGTTTATCTGCCTCCCAAATTGCCCATGCTCTACTTTTATTATCTGTGATCTGTTGTTCCTGTATCTGAAAATTACTTCCTGAATCTATTAGGAAAAGTGGATGAAAAGAAATCAGCAGTCGCAAATTCTGGTCCAAGCAGAATAAATCAGGGAGGGTGGCTCTCGCGCCACGGGTATAGGCATGAACATATTTCAAGAACATAATCGCCGGGTTCTTATAAAATTTGAGTTCATCTTTTCCCGTTGCAAATTATATATCTGTGGCAACCTTCTGAAACACATATCAGAAGATACTTAAAGGGTTATTAAAGAATTGGATACAATTTTTCCAGCCTTATTTCAGACTCCTCCAGGAAGCATATCCCAAAGGGGATAAAGAAGTATGCACATTTTTTTTGAGCCCAGAAAAATTGTTTATTACAATTTTATGCAACCTTTCTATGGTAAATCCATGGGGACAGGTCCCTTTGCTGGAATTTGAATCTGCTGACACAGGCATGCTAAGTTTACCTGTGACAAATTAAAATAAACAAACAAACCAAAAAATGCTTTATGTTTTAACAGTAAACCTTTGTTGCATAAATGAAAAAATTGACTATTTTATTACCAGTGATGAGGCTAAATATTTTGGCAGTAAGGTAAACAAAAGAATAAACAAAACATCTTAAGAATAGATAAGCATTTTTGTCAGAAGGTATTATGATATAGATCATCCAACAGAATAAAATTTTGTAATTTCAATGCCTTATTTACTCATAAATCAAGAACATGTAAACTTTTATTAATTTCTTTTAAACTTTTATATTAAGAAATGTATTATTTTGTTTGGAAAGCAAGCTTTTTATGGAAGTGAATCATTTTTCAAATTAATACCATTCTATTAATATTTGACATAAAAAGACACTTATTCCAGAGTAAATCCCTTTTCCAATTATGCTCAATAAATTTATGGTTGTATTATTTGGAGATAAAAATTAAGTGTTTAAGCTTCAAAGAGTCTTGATCTTTCCAAGAGACCTAGACAATTCTTTCTTCATCTCCTGCCCTTCCTGGTCTCTTCAGCCTCTGCCCATGAACAGGACAGCTTGGCTCTGCATGGGTAGCTCTAAACCCCTGGCTGCACACTACAATCATTTAGAAATCTTTTATAAAATACCTGGGTAGCACCTCTAGGGACAAAGGTGTAATTGGTCTGAAAATGGCCTGTGCGTCAGTATTTTCTAGAAAATATTTCACATGAAGCCAGTAGTAGGGGCTCTGTTTGGTCCGGGAGTGTAGCTAAAGCCCACCCTTTTGAGCAGGAAGGCTGAAAGTCCCTACCTAAATTTTCATAAGGTGCAGCAGCCCATTTTGTAATGGCTGGTCCTGCTATGACCTGCCATTCTGTCCCAGGATACAGGCTTCTGCCCAGTTCCAGAATCACAAATCATAACAATAGAACATTCATTTAGTGCTTGTTCTGCCACTCTGATTTCCAGGTCCCAACCCTTCTCTCTGTCCCTGGCTGTGCAACTGATGGAGACAAAGGAACTCCCATCACCCTAGGATTGAGCTTCACCCCACAGAAGCCCTCCACAGGAGCAGGTGGCTGTCTCCTCTCCCACTCATTTCCTCCCCCACAGCTAAGCACACTCATTGAAAATGAGTTCTTAGTATTAAGCTAAGTGCTCGATCTCCAGGATCTCATTGAACCCTCACAACAATCCCAAGTCAGAGAACATTATTAGATCACTTAAGCAGGGGCAGAAGCTGAGGTGAACTCACTTGCTCAGGTAATAGAGCTAGGAAGTAGCAGAGATAGATCTTGATTCCAACCCTGGTGACAAAGGCCATGCTTATTAACCTCCACAACAGCCAAGAGTTATATGATGCTTGCTATGTCCCAGGCAAGCTCTAAGGAAGCTCTTTTACGTAGATTAAAGTAAATATCAGAAAAGGAGCCTGGGACACAGAAATATATGCAGTAGGCCCAACATCACAGGGCTACTAAACATAAGGGCCAGCATTTGAATCCAGACAGTCTTGTCATAGAGCCCAAACTCTGAACCACTTGACCCCACTCTCTTAACCACCACACTGGAGCCTAGGTAACGCTGACTGCCATGACCCTGCCCTAACTCTGGGCACACAGCACAGTAGCCTCATGCATGTGTGTCTGTGTGTGTCTATTTGGATGTAAGAGCAAGTATTTTCATTTCTGTCTCCTTAGAATCTAATACAGTGCCTGGCAAACAGTAGGTATTTAATAAAGAGCTGTTTGACTGTTTATGCATTCCTTCATTCAACGAATATTTTGTGTATTGCCTTCCATGAGCTTCCAGGGATAGAAAGATGAATCGAGCATGGTTCCTGTCGTAAGGAAGTTTGATATAACTGCAGAGACACGGACACAGACAACTGTCATATTTCATGACGCATGCACTCCCAGAGGTATGAACAGATGCTAGGATGTGCTGCAAGAGATTCCATGGTAACACAAAATGCCTAAAGTTCCTTTCCATTATGGCTTGCTCCACTGTCTTGTCTTCCACACACCCAAGCAATCTGGTACTTTCCCTTACATTTTTCCCAAAATCAACTGCTCTGCCAGACTTACTCCAAAACACTGCATTTTTGAGACATGCAGCCTCTAGTTAAACCCTTTCCACTCCCAGTCCCTGGTTTCTCTAGTCTGTCTGTGTAAATTTGCGCTGATCATCAATGGGCAAGGATCCAGGCCATCCCATCTAGACTTAGCCTTGCACACTGCTGGGAACTGTCACAGTTAAGCTGGTGCTGCCTAGCAGAAGAATTCCTACAATCCTCATGTAAGTAAAAACTCTGTCTTTTGTTTCTGACCATACTATTTACCACTAGGAGATTAATAAAGTGAGAATTTAAGCTTCACGATGCAGGAATATCTGACTGTTTTATTCACTTTTGTATCTCTAGTGCCTAGAACAATCCCTGGCAAATATCGGGTGCAAAATAAATACCTGTTGAGTGAATAAACAAATACCTCTTGCTTACATGTTTGTTTCCAGCTACCTGTGAACATCTTAGGGACAGGGATGACTTTGTATGTCCAGAACTTAGAAAAGTGCCTGTCACACAGTAGATGCTTAATAAATGTTTCATGAGTGACTGGATGAATGAACAGATGGATAAAGAGACAGAAAACTGTTCAAAGATAAAAGGACTCATCAAAATGTACAGCCTACTGAAAAACTGCCATCTTCAACTAGTTTTATTAATGGAAAAGATACAGCATTATCTTGCTTAATGGTTCTTTTCAACAAAATTTCCCTTGTTAAACACACACACATATATGTACAGAGAACTCAATGTTAAGTCCACTTGAAAGATATGAATCTGATGACAGAATCTGGCAGAAAAATTTAAAAGGCCGGCCACTGTCCAGGTGCCGGTGGCTCATGCCTATAATCCCAACACTTTGGGAGGCCGAGGTGGGCAGATCACTTGAGTTCAGGAATTTGAGACCAGCCTGGCCAACATGGTGAAACCCCATCTCTACTAAAAATACAAAAATTAGCTGGGCATGGTGGCACGTGCCTGTAACCTCAGCTACGCTGGAGGCTGAGGAACGAGAATCGCTTGAACCCAGGAGGTGGAGGTTGCAGTGAGCCTAGATCATGCCACTGCACTCTAGCCTGGGTGACAGAGTGAGACTCCATCTTAAAAAAAAAAAAAAAAGAAAAGAAAAGGCAGGCCACTGATAAGGAGTCTATTGGCATAAAGAAGTGTTTCTCAAATGTGGTCTAGGTATGCCCACATCAAATTCATCTAGGACCCTGTTAAAAATGAAGATACCTGAGCACCACTTCTTGTCCACAGAATCGAAATCTTTGGGGAGAGGTGCCCAGAAACTGTAAATTCAGACAACCTCCTCAGATGATTCTTATGCACATAAACATTGAGAATCATAGGCATATGTATATAGTCTTCAGCTCCTGCTACTGTGGCCAAGGGTATATTTGAAAGTCAAACAGAACTACAAATTAGGCAATGCAGAGGACTTTTTCCAGTTAAGTCCTCCCTCTTACTACCTGAAAGGCTCAAAATGTAAGGCATTATAATTACTACATGTCACCTAAGAAACTTCTATCAGGGCCCCAGCAAGACACAGATGGCATCCTCCAGCTGAGTAACCTTAGGTTTCATAAAGGGACCGTCTGCAAAGGCGTGGGCAGAGTTATGGGGAAGCTGCAGGGGATGGTGTAGTATGGCAGGGCTAGTAACCCTGGGGGAGCTGTTACCACTCCAAGGCCTGAGGGACAGGAGGAAGGAGCAGTTATAGAATCTAAAAATAGAGGCTGGGTGGAAAGGGTCCTTCTACAGGACTGTGACGTCTGGTGGAGGAAGATGGCTAGACTTCAGCAATCCTGAAATGTGGGAGATGGGAAATAAACTTCACTCATCAGCTTCACTCATGCCCTACCAGAGGCCTCCTGCAAATGTTCCCCTGCTGGCCAAATGAACCAGAGGCCAGAGGGCAGGGATGCTAATGGAATCATATGGGTCAGTTTCTCAGAGCTCAGAGCAGGATGGAGGCAGGGTCTGGAGGGACAAACAAAAGACGTCCAGCTCAAACCTCCAACTCTCTCAAGAGAACTCAGTACCGGCACTCTATTTTTGACTCCTTTGCCAAAGGGGCACTGTCTCCAACAATTGGGATGGCCATTATATTATCACCCACATTCCCAAGGCTAGTTTAGCATTAAAAACAAAAGCTAGTAATATTCTGCCCCTGTCTAAAGATGAGAGCCAGGCAATCATCAAATAAATAAAAGAGGTTTTAGGGTTGACGAGCTAGTTTTAAATCCTGAGGAACTCCTCAAATTTGAATCTTTTTCTTAATTACGAAAAGCTATAAATAAAGCCACCCATTCTGCCCACCTTGATATGTCTTCCATAATCATCACATGAGGTATTGGGTATTAGGTGTCTCTGTGAAATTACCAAGCTGTATAAGATATTAAGTTATAATTCCCTCCAGGAAGTACAGTACAGATGTGCAAATCTGTGTATTAGAAGGATGGAGCAACCAATTTTGTTTTCACACTTGGATGATCCGTGCCCAAATCAAAGACAAACCACAACATATGCCTTTGTGTGAGTTTTCTTATTTTTAGCAATGCATTAGGGAGAAGAAGGAGTCACTAGAATGTACAAAATTTGGCAGTGCAGCACAGAATGCCTCAGCGACTTGGAGGGGGGTTAAGAACATATGTTTAACCATCTTTTTCATGGACCCAAAAGGAGAATATTGAGGATGTCACTGCTTACTAAAAAAACTGTTGCTACTCCAAACATTTCCTACCTTTGATTAGCTTCTCTTCTAAAGTAAATTAATTGTAGTGGAGTGAAAAGAGCACTGGAGCAAATGTCAAAAGACCTAGCTTCTAGATGCTACCTCTGTCTCTGTTAGTTCTTGGGGACTAGAACTAACTTGAAGTCTTTAACTGTGCTGTGGGTAAACCTAGGGTGGTTCTTTACAGTTATCTCAAGGTCTATCATAAGAGTTCCTAAAGATTAGAAAGAAGCGGGTAGTAAGGAGGGGCTACCAGCTAAGAAACCCCCTCCCCCACCATCTTTTCCTATTTCGTACATTGAAGTTATGTGTGAGATCACATAGGTCTCCACTGCTTAAAAAACAAAAACAAACAAACAAATACATTCTTAGATAGATGATCTGTAAGATATCTTAAAATGTAACATAAGAGAGTTTAATAAACTTAGTTCCATCCCACTTCATTTGGAACTGTGAAGCCATAAGTATTTGCCCAAGTCCACCTTTCAGTAGACTAAAGCATGAACCACCATATCTAAGGAAGTTACAAAGTAAGAATCAACGACCCAGAGTGAAATTAATACTACAGCTCACAGGCAGGTTTGCTATGAACATTTGTTAGAATAAAGGTAAACTGGGTAAATTTTCCCCATCAGGTGTGGTTTAGCTGCCAGACCAACAGTTTGATCATTGCAGGTTAACAACTGCCTAAGGTTGGAACCTGCCAGCCAGGTCCCAACATTCAACCAAGTGAGTGCCCCAGGGTAACAAACAATGCTGTTTGCTTGTTCACCAGCTGTAACAACTTTCTCCCAAATCAGGCAAACAAGGGCAGATTCAGTATTACACACTGGATACGGTGTGAACTCCAAGCCACCTATAGACTATGATTTACCTCTCTCAGCATTTTGCAAAGATGTAGTAGAAAGATATCCAACCTTCATGAAGAAGAAGATCAAGGGCTTGCGTTCAAAATCTGCTACTCATTAACACCACGACTTTGGGTAAGTTATTTCACCATTCTGATGCCAGTTTTTCCATTTGCCAAACGGAAGTGGTGATATTAGCTCATATGTGAATCCACGTGAAGCTCTTAGAAAAGTGTGTGGCACATAGTAAACACTCAATTAATAATAGTTGTTGTTTCTATTATTTTGTCAATAACTTAGTAAATGCCAAGCACTCTGCAAAGTTTTAACAGTCACCAAATATTTATTGAGCACCTACTTGGTGTCAGGCGCATTCATTATTTCCTTTAATCCCACAACAACCCTCTGAAGTAGGTCATATTATTTTCATTCTATAGAAATGAAAATAGAGACATAGAGAAATTACTAACAAAAAAACTGAAGAGTGAAGCCATCTGATCTAAACTAGGCTCTCTATTTCCTGGAGGCTGCCATAAAACTGATATGGTGTTGTTACGTAAATAAAGCGTAGCCTAGAACAGGTTCTTATAAATAGTGGCTACCATTATTAACTTAATCTCTTCTGTTACCACACTCCTTAGAACCGTCTTACCCAAATATTGGTCAATCAGATACTACTTTGTACTTTTTACCATAGCTAACATCTTTACCTTTAGCTATTGAAGGGTTTTCCTTAAAGTGGCCAGCAGTTTGGATAATTCAGCTTAGGACGAAGCCTGGAACATAGTGACAATGATGGTAATGATGGTGATGATAATGATAATGATGATCATAATGAGTACAATGTGTTTATATTGCATGCCAACAATGGGAATACAAAGGTGAAATGGCATTGGCCTCTAGGCTCTTACAGGGCTAGGTCCAGTGGGGAGACATAAAGCACACTAATAACATGTTACAGCAGTAACTAAGACGTGGGTTTGTCTAAAGTGAATCCAGAAGGGCTTCACAGAGGAGGTAGCCTTTGATTTATAACATGCAGGCTGTACAGGAGCTTGATGAACATACAATAAAAGGATATTCTCAACAGAAAGGCTGTGCCTAAGTCCTCCTTCAAACTCCAGGCCTAGCACATGCAGCACCTCAATCCATTTGTTGATTACATTTGAAATGTAAGAGTTGATGAGTATGAGTCTCCTATATCTCCTCCAAGCTTATATTCCATCCCTATCCTAAAATATTGGTAAGACTTCCAGAGAGAAGGAGTAAGGAGACAGAAATTCTCTCATGTAACCTGCTTATTGTAAAGAAATACAACCTCATGTTTCCCTGTCATTCCCAAAGGGCCGTTTCTACATGGCAGGCTAATCACCTGCAAAATTACCGTGAGGCGCTAGTTCTTAGTTATATACAAGCAGAACAGCATTCAAAGCATCTTCACATGGTTGGTTTTATAACTTAAGAAAGACTGCTCTGATTTACCTTATTTTTCCAATTCAAACTTAGAAGATAATAGAACAAATGGATATGGTACCTGTCAAATGAGAGAGAAACAGAAATGCAGGGAACAAGCCTTGGGTAATCAACTCAAGCTTCTTACATCTAGTCAACAAGAGAGTGTAATTACATTGGAGTCCACAGTATAAAGCATAAGGCTCTTGAGTATTTTTATATAGAAGATGTTGCTCTTAAAATACTGATGATGTGCAATGTCTATAGAATAAATACAGCCTGGTATCACAGAGTTGCATGCATTACTCATGCAGAATGCTTGCTGTGTTCTCTCTCTTTTCATATGGATGATCTCTATTTTGTTCAGGTCCGGGAAGCAGCCCCGTCACATCCTAACAAAACTTTCAATGGAAATTTGTTGTGAGGAAACCAGTCTCCTCACCATTTTCTCCTGCACACGCCATCTGCCTCAGCTAGTCTGCCATGTACAGAGGCTCCCAAATCCACTGAAATAAATCTGTGGTGTCTGTACAATCAATTCTCTAAGAATATGACTTTATAGGTTCTCTGCCCACATTCATCCCTTATTATTAACAATTGGGCATTGGTTTCGACATTTATCTCAGAGCTGATGGTGTGAAATTAAACTTCGAGCTCACTGCTTTCCCAGACAGAGATAGCCCCTGGTCCTGGGGTGACCTGAATCTGATGAGCTTCCCAAGCTTGGCTCAGAAGTCCAGATGCTGAAGACAGATGTGGCTGCTTCCTGCTGATCACAACAAAGAAGCTGCTGGGTGGCTTGTTTGTTTGTATATAAGCATAAGCAAATGCTCTGGGGTTGAGGCTGCTAATTAAGTCTCTAAATTGTACTGGGTATGATAAAGCTTTCACCCTCCCTCTTCCCGTCTCAGTTGAGAGACTCACCTTATCTGAGGATGAACCAGTGAGATTTACCGTGTGCTGTTGGGAAGATCAATAGCAAACCAACACACTCTCACCCAACAGCAAGGGAGGAGACATAGGGAAGTGGCTGAGAATCAGAGAGATTTGAAATCCCACACTGCTAGTCACAGACTGAGCCCCTGACCAAGATACTTCAATTTGCTTGAGTCAGTTTCCTCTTAATGAGGATGAATCCTTACCTCCCAATGTTGGTTGATCTGAGGCTCATTCATTTATCCATTCATTCTCAACAAACGTTTATTGAGTGCTGTATTAGTTTTCTTTTGCTGCCATAACAAATTACCATGAACTTAGTGGTTCAAAACAATAGAATTTTATTATTTTCACTGCTATAGAAGTCCAATAAAGGTATTTCTAGACTAAAATCAAAATATCCAGAAAGCCACATTCCTTTCTGGAGCTTCAAAGGGAGAATCCATTTCCTTGCTTTTTCCAACTTTTAAAAGCCACTGATTCTTTGACTTGTGGCCCTTTTCTCACATCTACAAAGCCAACAATGGTAAGTCCTTCTCACGCTGCCAACTCTCTGGTTCTTTGCAGCCGGGGAAAGGTTCTCAGCTTTTAGAGATTCAGATGGTTCGATTGGTCCACCTTGATAATCCAAGATCTTCATATCAAGGTCCTTATATTAATGGTATCTGCCGAGTCTCTTTTTCCATATAAGAATAACATCTTCATAGGTTCCGAGGATTAGGGCATGACATCTTTGGGGGCCAATTATTCTGTCTACCACAGGAATGCATTCTTTATGTTAGCAAACAGACAAACAAAAAAATCCCTGCCTCAAAGAACTAACAATCTAAGGGCAGACTATAAACAATAAATATAAAACCAGCAAGTATACAGAAAGTTAGAAGGTATGAGTCCTATGAAAAAAATAAAAGTAGAGAAAGGTGAGGGGAATAAAAGTGGCAGGGCTTGGGGGTTGGACTGTAGTGTTAAATAAGGTGGTAGTGTATATTACAGAGAGTGAGCTGCTGGTTAAGGGTGGAATGAAAGAAATTGAGATTAGGAAAGAGCTGAAGTCATTCGGAAATGACAAGTTCATTAATTTTTTAAAAAATGTATTTAGAGTATTTTGAGGGCCTAGCACATACTGGTTTTGTTTTTCCTTCCAACAGCAATTTTCTATTATGAGAGCCTGTTCATGTCTGTCCCTCTGATTCTCAGGTTGGGGTATTTTGGCCCACAATGAATCAGACTTTGTAGCATAATGAAGAGCACAGAAACCTATCTCTGCACATTACTGGCAGGATGATCTGGAGCTGTCATTTTCCTTCTTTGAACCTCAACGTTTTCATGGGTTCACTGGCACTTGCCCCTGGAATCTCATACTATTTGGAGAATCAAGATCAGTAAGTGTAATGAAAACAGTGTGGTGCTGGCATAAAGACAGACATAGAGACCAATAGAAGAGAACAGAAAGCCAAGAAATAAAACCTCACATAGAAGGTCAAATGATTTTTGACAAGGGTTAAATTCAGTGGGGAAAAGACAGTGTCTTTAGCAAACAGTGTTGGGAAAACTGAATATCTAGATGCAAAAGAATGAAATTGGACCCTTACCTAACTCCATTTACAAAAATTACCTCAAAATGGCTCAAAGACCTAACCATGAAACTTACAACTACAAAACCTTTGAAAGAAAACACAAAGGAAAAGTTTCACAATACTGAATTTAGCAACAATTTTTTGGATATGATACCAAAAGCACAAACAACAAAAGTAAAAATGCGTAAATCACACTATATCAAAATTTAAAACATCTATGCATCAAAGGACATGATCAAAAGAGTAATAAGTGGTAAGAAAAAATATTTGCAAATCATATATTATAAGGGGTTAATATCCAGAATATATAAAGTATTCTTACAACTCAACAAGAACAAGACAACCCAATTTAAAAATGAGCAAAAGACTTGAATGCTCATTTCTCCAAAGAAGACATACAAATTGCCAACAAGCATTTGAAAAGATGCCCAACATCACCAATCATTAGGAAAATGCAAATTAAAGCCACAATGAGATATCACTTCACATCTGTTAGGATGGCTGCTATAAAAACAAACAAACAAACAAATAACAGCAAATAACAAGTGTTGGTGATGATGTGGAGAAACTGGAACCCTGCAAACCACTGGTGGGAAAGTTAAATGGTGCAGCCACTATGGAAAACAGTATGACGGTTCCGCAAAAAGGTAAACATAGAATTACCATATTATTCAGCAATTCTACTTCTGAATATACATCCAAAAGAACTGAAAGCAGTATCATGAAGAAGTACGCACATTTGTCTACCCATATTCATAGCAGCATTATTCACAATAGCCAAAAGGCAGAAGCAACCCCAATATCCACTGACAGATGAATGGATAAACCAAGTGTGATAAATATATACAGTGAAATATGATTTAGCCTTTTAAAGGAAGGAAATTCTAACACATGCATGAACCTTGAGAACATCATGCTAATTGAAATAAGCCAATCACAATTCTACTTTTATGACGTATCTAGAGTAGTCAAATTCATAGAAAGTAGAATGGTAGCTGCCAGGAACTGGGAGGTGGAGGGAAAAATGGGGAGTTATTGTTTAAAGGGTACAGAGTTTCAATTTTGCATGATGAAAAAGTTCTGGAGATTGGTTGCACAACAATGTGAATAGCCAACACTATTGAACAACATACACTTAAAAATGGTTAAGATGATAAATTTTACATGTACTTCATATCACAATTAAAAATTTGTCATAAAAATAAAAATATGTCAGATCAGTAAGGATGTACACGTAGGATATTTGTAAAGCATGTTAAAAATGTACATACTCCCCCATGCTATGACATGCTCTCTAGAAGAAGCAATAGGTTATACAGAAACACAAAACCCATCTTGGATCACTGATAATGAACAATACACAGATTGGGATGTCTGCCCAGGATCAACAGCAGCAGCAGGACACAGCTGCTCAGTCTCCAGGGCAGACCATATACTCCCATTGCCCAGATAAAAACTTAGGGATTAGGTATTATTCAAACACTGCCAATCAGTGCAAATAAAATATGTTACTACATTTTGGAAAAAGAGAAATAGGACAACCTTGAGTCTAGATGTTTCACATAAAATTATTTCTTGAATTTGTATTAGCTCCTTTTACTGCTTCAGAATCTCAGAGAACTTCATAGGCATATGCATGTGTTAGCCTGTGTAAAGCAAGAAGACGTGTGGCAGGAAGTAGCTCCATGTAGTCTTTCTGTGTGGTTCTGGGCAGGATAAAAATCACTTTCTGGATCATCTGTAATGCATTCAGTCAGCAAACATTTACTTAGCAACTACCATATGCTAGCCTTGGTTGGTGATATGTAGGAAAATGAGACATAGCCCCTGCCTTGAAGGAGACACAGTTGAATTGAGGAGTCAGAAAAGAAAGCCTGTAATTACATCTCAGGAAGTGCAGAGTCCAGAGGCAAGAGACAGCATGACATACTCAGAGAAAGAGTAAACAGTTCAGTAAGGGTGAAATATAGGCATTAAGGCAAGGATCTAGGGAGAAAGGGCCTAAAAACTTACTGTGTTAGAACAAAATGCAATTTAACTCTAGCCATGTGGTAGTGTTACTCATTAAAATGTCCCCAGAATGGCAAGGTACCATGGAGTCTACCAAATCGTGCTGCACTTTATCATTGATCTCATTTTGCTTACAAAGGAATGATTGTTCATTGATCACTCCCCTTGGAAGGTATTTAAATGTGTCCTTAGCTGCCTCTTGGAAGAGGCACAGCTGAGTGAGTTAAGAGCATGGGTTATAGAGTTAGCAACAGCAAAGGTTTCCATCCAAATGGTGTCACTCCCCAGTCTGTGCAGCTTTGGGTGAGTGACTGGGCTACTCAGTGACTGTTTCTGCAGGATAACATGGGAAACAGAATGGCTCCCACCTCACTGGGTTGCTGTTGGGGTTAGGTGAGTTAAGGGAAGTCAAGAGCTTGGCATGTAGCAAGGACTTCATAAATGGCATGGATGGTATCTATCCATTTATTCATCAGCCTTTGAATAGGGACTGTTCTAGACCCTGGAGATACAAAGATAAATAAGGCAGAGTCTTTATCCTTCAAGGAACCTCCACACTAGTGGTCAGATAGACACAATTATGCACTAGGACAATAGAAGGTCAATTTGTTTTATCTCTGCCTCACTTAGGCCCCTTGGGAAAAAAAAAAAAAAAAAAAAACCCGTCTTTTTCATCTCCATAAACACGGGACAGAATCCTGGTCAGCTTTACGGGGGCCTACAGGAAGTGAGGGCCAGTCCTGGAAAACTGGTAACAAAACAACCTGAGACTGAATAGAACCCATTGTAGGTTCTATATTCTATATTCAATAGAGCCTGTCAGGACCAGGAAGGACCCTAGAGATCAAATGGATCAACTCCTTCACTTTGCAGATGAACAAACTGAGGCTCAAAAGATCAAAAGATTCACCTAAGTTCACTCCATTACACTGAGTCCTTGCTCCTGAAATGGCCCTCTTCCTCACACAGTACAGCCTCATTCCTCACTATCTTCTGGTACTGTGTGCGTGTGCGTGTGTGTGTGTGTGTGTGTGTGTGTAATGGCAGAACATGCTCTTCACACCAGATTTTTCGAATAGGGAAAAGAAATTTTAAAATGTTCACAAACCTGAGGCCCATGCAACATTAAGCTGTAGAATGATTCTGCTTTATCCTGCTTCCAGGGCACATCTGTGAGCTGCCTGCTGATGCCATCGGCTCTTTGTTCCAGGAAGCCATCTAATTCCCATGGTGGGGAACCACAGCCAGCTCCCTTACAGGACTCTCAGCAGTGGAATCAGCATGATAGTCAGTCTAACCCTGTTTTCTTAAGATGTATCCAGCTCTCTACTTTCTCCACTTTGAGGTTAACAGTAAGACTTTGGATTTAGTCAATGAGGGTTTGGATTCAGTTCCCTCACTTACTAGGTGAGAGACCTCAAGCAAGTCACTAAGCCTCTCCAAGCCTCAGTTTCCTTGTATGGAAAATGGGTACAATACTGCCTACCTCTATAAACTAGTGTGAGGATTAAGATGATGTGTACAGAGCCAGCACAGGGCTGGGAAAAGAATAAACCCCTAATAACCCATAGCTAGGAGGATAAGGAGAAGGTTAATGTCAACATTAGCAGTACTACCAGAATTTTATCTTCTCTAAGACAGGCAAAGGAAATTCTCACTGGTCCATCTTTGAGTTTTGAACTTCGTATCTTTTGCATTTAATAATAAAATAGATTACTGCCAAACCACGTTTTGTGTATATATATGTGTATATGTACACACACACACACACGCTCCTCTTCTAATCATCAGAGTAACATTGTAAACCCAAGAGCAGGCCAGGCGCAGTGGCTCACGCCTGTAATCCCAGCACTTTGGGAGGCCAAGGCAGGCAGATCACAAGATCAGGAGTTCGTGAGTAGCTTGACCGATGTGGTGAAGCCCCATCTCTACTAAAAATACAAAGATTAGCCAAGCATGGTGGCGCACACCTGTAGTCCCAGCTACTCGGGAGGCTGAGGCAGAAGAATTGCTTGAACCCAGGAGGTGGAGACTGCAGTGAGCCAAGATCATGCCACTGCACTCCAGCCTGGGTGACAGAGCAAGACTCAGCCTCAAAAAAAAAAAAAAAAAAGAGAGAGAAAACTGAGGTACAAAGGTTAAAATGCCTGGTACCAGCCCTTCCACCAGAAAGTCAAGAAAGATGAAATTAAGTGTCTTCAACTACACCCACCTATGATCTATCTGCTACATGCCCCTCTGTCTTCTTCCTCCACTCTTTCAACAGATTCTAAATACAAGCATCAAAGGTTGACTTCATCTCCATTTCCAGGCACTTTGGTGAACTGCTGGACTCCCCTCCTAATGATGTCCTTTTTCACTCATGCAGTTAAGTACTCATATTCTTGCATGCATTTTCCTTTACACATTTCTCCTTGTGAGGCTTCTGCACTCGCAAATGTGATTATTTCTCCTTCTGAATAAACATCAAGATCATACATCTTTCAACAAAGATTTCCTTTCACACAGCCACCTGATGTTTGTGAAACAACAATCCTGTCCCTATATGATTCTTCTATTGACCAACCCTGCAGCCCCTATTCACCCAGAACATCTCCATCATCCTAGACAGCCCTGTTCCTTGGCTAAAATTATAACAGGCATCTCCTCCCTCAGAGTCCCATGGGCCTCTGGCATTTTCTGCTCTTTGTGTTTCCCAGTCCTCGTGTAGGTGGTTCTGTCCCAAAGTGATGTGATCTCATTAAAATCTTCGAGGCTCCTCTGTACCCCTCCTTTCTGTCCAGCCGCATGTGCCTGCCCCCAGCTTCATCACAAACTGAGCCCCATCCCCTCTCCTGGGCCTCTCCACCTTCTGCAGCTCCGTTGCACTTCCAATTGGCCTGCTACCTTTTCTGCTTTAGTCTGCCTCGTCTCTTTCTCTGAAAGCTCATCTCTCTCCTTTCTCTTCTCCCTTGTGTGCTTCAGACAAAGACAGACCTTTTGGAAGTGAGCTCAGCTTTCTATTCTCACAGCTCGTTTCCCCTTCTGGTTTTCTTCTTATCCCTCTTGTTTACCCCACATTACTTTATCACTCTCCTACTCCATGACCCTAAATCTCTCTTCTTCACAGAATACTGCTCCCTCTCACAAACTCCTCCTCTTGCTCACTCTGAAGCCTCAGCAACAAACATTATTTCAAAACGTGCCCTAGCTCTGCATGGCCTCTTCTTTCATTCAGGGCCCTTGAAGCTGTCCCAGCTCTGCCTGCCTCCTTTTTAGGTTATTCTTTTAGAAGGACATTTCAAAGATATTCTCTTTCACACCACAAAAGTAACTGACAATGCATGCCTCAACTCCCCCCTTATTTTAAACAGGAGACATGGGTGGAACCTTGTCCTATGCACCCCCAAACACAGCCTCTATTTACCATTCTTGTTGTCATTATCTTGGCTCTGGTTCTAATTATTTCTCTCCTACACCCGTAAACACACATCCTTGACTTATTTCTTGTCAATTTTCATCTGCCCTTCACACCTTCTACTCCAGACTGATTCCAAAAAGCAAATTTGATCAATTAGATTCCCAGCTGACAAGGTTTCAATGGCTCCCCATTACTTTCAGCATGAAGTTGAAACTCTCCAGTATGGCATGTAAGGTTCTGCATGCCGTAGCCCCTGCCTACCACCACAGCTCAATTCCTCTACTCAGCACAATCCAAGATCCCTGGGGAACAGTAACACGGGACTGCTTTGTACCCATGTGGGTTCAACTAAGGGAAACACACCATGGTAGTTCCTGTGGCCCTGCCTCAAATATGATGTTTCCACACCCACTGCATATATGATGAACTCCTATTGGCCTTTATCCTATTATCCTAACATCCTTCTGGGTCCAACTCAACAAAAGAAATGAAGGATGGATAAATGGAGGGAAGGAGAAAGAGAGGTAGGGAGAGAGGGAAGGAAGGAGCATACTAATGCATAGTACATGGGTACAATTTGTGACCAATAGCTATTTCCATAGTAATTATAACTAAATTGTTCCCCAAATGAAATGTATCTGGCAGGTCACTAGCCCTATACTTTCCGAGATACAGAAAATTTAGATACCTAACTCCCCCCATAGAAACAAGCTTGATAACAAAAATAACTGTAATAGCTAATATACCTCACCCCAGAAAACTTCTGAGTTGTTTACCTATATCAACTCATTTATTCCTCAGTAAACGGTGAGGAAACATAAATATGTCAAGTAATTTGCTCAAAGCCATACAGCTTTTAGTGCAGGGTCACAGTGTAAACCCAGGCCACCTGGCCCCCAAACCAATGTTGTTAATACTGCATCCATGGTCTGCTCTTATAAGTGGCACTGTTAACACATACCAAACTTTCTTCAACAAGTCTTCAATATCTCCCATGCTCACAGACTTATTACAGACAAAGAAGGTTTTGGCCCTATGTGGCGCTCTTAAGTAAGACTGTAACCTTCTTCCAGAAGTTGATCAGGATGAAAAGAATATGGAATTTGAATCAGAAGACCTGATGGGATTCAAGTTCCATCTATAATATTCATTAGTTGTGTGGCCTTAGGCAAATCATTTAACTTGGACTTCAATTTCTGCCTGTAATGGAGATATTAACACCTGCCCTCATAGGGATACTCCTAAGTATAAATGAGATAATGTCTACGAAAATATTTTGCAAAAGGTGTCATTTCAATTCTAGCAGTTCTATTCAGACACCAAAATAATCACGATTGTACTCCTGACCTGAAAATCACCTGGAGCTCCTTAATTCATGGAAACCAAACTTCTGCAAGCAAGTGTCCCAACTTTATTCCAGTGGCATGGATAATCAGAGCCCTGGCATATAACCTTCTTCTGGACAATTAACACTTATTCTGTATAAAGTTACTCCTTCTTTCAAAGCTTCCCTTCAAAGGGGCCTATAAAGATGAATTCAGCTTCCTCCAAGGACAAGACAAGGAGAAATCAAGAAGAGAAAGAAAAGCCAGTTCTGACCCGTTTTCATTTCATTATTCAGCCTATCTTAATCTTCCCAATTTTTATTTTACTTTTTGCTGTTTTCCTTCTCCCAACTTCCTGCTTACAAATGTTAGCCATGCATACTATGATCCCAGGTCATTCTAAGGTGGAAATCTGCTTTAAGAAAACCCAAATTCCTAGCTGTCCTCCTTCTCCTAAATACATCTGTACGACAAGCATTCCATTGCTGTCCTTCTAACTTCTTGATCTAAATAATCTTTTCCCACAAATAGTTTAAGTTCTTCCACCTTGCTCCCAGTGGCCATGCTTTTTCTGTAGCTGAATAGAAGCTTAATTAATACCTCACACAGCCAGCCAGGGACAGAGCTGAGCTTTGAATCCAGATCCCCTACCCACAGCCAAAGTTCATTCTAGCATAGCACAGTGCCGCCCTAACTCCATGTTTTTGGTTCCAAGAATGTCCATTCATTCACAAGCATTTAATAACCCAGTAGTATGCTTGGTGCTCAGATATTCAAGAAATTCAGGCTAAGAAGCAAGAAGAATATAATAAACACACTCAAAGATGTATGAAAAAAGAAGAGGCTGCAACAGAGGCATCTGTTACTTCTTCATGATCTATTTTGTTGCAAGGATATAGCATTAATGAGCATAGCAACTCACAGTTCCTTATTATAGAATCCATGAAACATAAAACAACTAAGAGAAGCAATTGAGTCATGTTAACCTCTGTAATCTTTAAGGTCTACCTCCCTGCTTGGCACATGGGAGGTATACTAAAAACATCAACTAATTAATGCTTCAATAAGCTTGAATCTCCAAGAGCATGAGCCCCATATGTTGTGGATTCATTATTTTATTTAACAACCAACATTTACTGAACATCTACTACATGCAGATATATTCTGGAAAACAAGAAGACTACAATACAGCTCACGACCCCACAAATGTGTCTTGATGCTATCAGATGAAAATAACTATATAAGATGCTTCTGGAGCAATGTTGCCCTAATCCATCTGTGCATTCTTCTGGTCTTTTTAAAGGCAGAGGAATAAACACACACACACACACACACACACACACACACACACACACACACACAGAGAGAGGAGAGAGAGAGAAGAGGGAGACAGCAATTTCATGTTGCTGGAAAGTTGCATTTTTTTAGGTAAAAATGCAGTGTTAATATGAAGGATGACTCTGATCACAATTCCTATCATTCATTTGTCTCTCCTAGATAAGTTTAGTTTAGATCAGGCTCCACAATGTCTTAGTGATTTTTAATAAACCAGATCAGACTCATTCAGGTACACTTTAAGGATAATTTCAAACAGCAGAAGTCAGCCCAAACTTCCCTAGTCATGTAACAAAGCATGTAATGGCCAGGCACAGTGGCTCACGGCTATAATCCCAGCACTTTGGGAGGCCAAGGCGGACAGATCACAAGATCAGGAGATCGAGACCAGCCATGGCCAATATGATGAAACTCCATCTCTATTCAAAATACAAAAATCAACCAGGCATGGTGGCACATGCCTGTAGTCCCAGCTTCTTGGGAGGCTAAGGCAGGAGAATTGCTTGAACCCAGGGGGCGGAGGTTGCAGTGAGCGAGATCGTGCCACTGCACTTCAGCCTGGGTGACAGAGCGAGACTGTCTCAAAACAACAACAACAACGACAACAACAAAAAGCATATAACGAACACTCCTACTTATTAGGCTTAGTTTTCTTCCTGCATTCAAAACATATTGGTTGAGCAGTCATGCACTGTGCTAGGTACTGAGTGAAACAATACTCCTTGCCACCTAAGACCTCAGTCTTCACGAGGAAAAACCTTAAACCAATAAATTAAATTTGAGGAAATGCAGTTAGAACAAAAAAGGGAAGAATTAATTCTGACCAAAAGAGTTTGAGAAAACAGGAGAAATATTTTTGGTGGGTCTTGAAAGAAGCACTAAATTCATCCAGGTGAGGAGGGTAGAGAAAATGTAATTCCATTATGTGGAAGAGCATTTCTAAACCCTGACTTCTGAGAGGAACTGGCATGTTCGGGAAATAGCCAGAAGATCAACGTGACTCAAGCAATCTGCATGTGGGACTGGGAAGATGGAGATGGGGACAGTAGAATGTCTGTAAAGTAACAAAGCACCATTGGAGAGCATGCTGTGCCACCCATTAAGCCACAGAGATTTGATTTTCCCAAAATTCCCTTAAGAGACAGTATCATATTGGGAGGAAAAGTGTAAGCTTTGGTGCCAGTCGGCCCCGGCTCCACATTCAGGATGTACTATCTCTTCAATGTGTGACCTTTTTCAAAATGTATTTTTTAAATGAAAGTAAACATTGTATATATTTATGGTGTACAACATGATGTTTTGATATATGTATACATTGTGGAATGGCTAAATCGAGCTATTTCCTCTCTGTGTGACCTGAGCAAGCTAATTCTTTGGCCTTGGTTTCTTATGAAAAATGGGGATGATTATAATAGGACCTAACTCATAGGGGTGTTATGACAGCTAAATGAGCATTTAGAGTAATGCCAGATCACTGAGATATATTGCAAAGTCATTACTGCCAGTGATTCATTAAAATAATTTTTGGTTTTTTCACTTCAGCATAGGGATCTGATTCAGGCAAGCATTTCAGGAACTGCCCGTAGCTGGTGCTTATATTGATGAACAAAGAAATAAATCAGGAGGCCGGGTGCAGTGACTCATGCCTGTAATCGTAGCACTTTGGGAGATGGAGACAGGTGACTGCTTGAGCCCCGGAGTTCGAGACCAGCCTGGGCAACATGGTGAGGCTCCATCTCTACAAAAAAAAAATATAAAAATTAGCTGGGCATGGTGGCATGCACCTGTAGTCCCAGTTTGAGCCCAGGGAAGTAGAGGCAGCAGTGAGCCATGATCGTATTACAGCCTGGGTGATACAGTGAGACCCCTTCTCAAAAAATGAAAATCAAAAGAAATAGATCTGGGCCAGAAAACTACCACCGGTGGGCCAAATCTGGATGGGCAATTGCTGTTTTTCTAGGTAAAGTTTTATTGGAACACACTCACTTGTGTATTTTCTATGGCTACTTTTGAGCTACAACAGCTGAGTTGAGTAGTTGCAACAGAGACCATATATCCTGCCGGGTCAAAAATATTTACTATCTGAATCTTTGCAGAAAAAGGTTCACTGACCCTTGAGATAGATGACTGAAGGCTATAGGGCAAGATAGGTGGCCCACATATAGGTAGATCTACATGTGTATCTATAATCTAGAACCTTGATTCAAAAACTTGCTCATTATCCTTTCCTGCTTTGGTCACTAGACTAGTAGTTCTCAACGTAGCATTATGCTGTAATTGTTTATATGAGCGGGTTTCTCTGTTAACCTTTATCATATATGGTGCAGTGAAAGAACAAAGTTGAGGCCATTCACCGTAGATCTTACCAGATTATTAGAGCCAACACAGGCAGTGCTTTGTTCAAAGCAATCTTTTCCTTAACACAGGTTGAAGTACGTTCCCCTTCTTCTATCAGACCAACATCAGACCCAACGGGCGTTGTGTTGCAAAGACAAACTGCTGAAGGCAGAGAGCTTCGAAAACCACTTGCTTTCCAACAGCAACACAGTTACCTTAGCCTCTAGTCTCCAGGTACAAAAACAGCTTTTGTGGTTGTCTGAAATATAAGAGATCTCAATCGCTGTTTACTGAACCTCAAACCTTGACAAAATAGGTTACTTTCAGGTCCTGAACTAGCTTCAAGTTTATCCTTTCCTTAAAGAACTACAAAAGAGAATAAGCTGTATGCACCACATTCTTTTTGTTATGTTAGAATTAGGGATTCGCACAGAAGGAAATGCTTCTGAATGAACCTTCTCTGCAGATGCCCCTGGAAAGCTAGCTGACCATGCCCTTTGAGCAGTATGTTCTAAAACAGTTTCTGGGAACACAATTTTAATAGGTGCCTATAAGAACAGGGAGCATTTTCATGTCTACAAAAGACCAAAGCCAAATTTTTAAATGTCAAACATACTTGTTTCTAGCAGGACTTCCAAAGCCTTTAACTGTGCATTGAGAATCTCCTAGAGACATAAAGCATGCAGAGCTGCCCAAACTTATTTGACCAAAGGAAACCTTTATGGGTCTGATTTTCCTTGGAATGTGGTTTGGAGAATGTTTTTAGATTATAGATTATCATAAAGTTTCCTGATGGATGCAACCCACTTTCTATACCCTCTTAGAAAGGATATCATCATTAAAAATTGGTTGTTTTTGCATTTCTGCCCATCAAAGGAACAAACAATTACTAATATATATGTTTTTTGTTTTTTGTTTTGAGACAGAGTCTCACTATGTCACCGAGGCTGGAGTGCACTGGCGAGATCTCGGCTCACTGCAACCTCCACCTCCGGGTTTCAGGCGATTCTCATGCCTCAGCCTCTTGAGTAGCCGGGATTACAGGTGTGTGCGACCACGCTCAGCTAATTTTTTGTATTTTTAGTAGAGACGGGGTTTCGCCATGTTGGCCAGGCTAGTCTCGAACTCCTAGCCTCAAGTGATCCGCCTGCCTCAGCTTCCCAAAGCGCTGGGATTACAGGTGTGAGCCACTGCTCCCAGCCCTAATGTGTATGCTAAATCCTACAATATCACTTGGCACCCGGGGAGACCACTCATACTGAAGCCAGATTTTGCAAGCCTTACCCTAATAAACTAGCTCTGAGCTACCAAATTGGATGTCACATATCACGGGAAACGTAAAGAAGGAATGAACACCCCTTGAGCCACTACCACAAGCCAAGAATTGTTTTACCTATGACACCCTACTTAATCTTCAAAACAACCCTGCAAGGTAGTTATTTATTATTCCCATTTCTCAGATGAAATGATCTGTATCTGTGCTGTCCACTACCTATACCACAGTAGCTCCTAGTCACGTGAAGCTACTGAGCATCTGAAATGTGGCTAGTGTGACTAAGGAGCTGGACTTTTTAATTAATTTAAGTTTAAATAGCCACAGGTATCCCATGGCTACCATATTAGGGAATACAGACCTATAGCATTCTTAAGTATAGAGGCTCCCATGGCTACCATATTAGGGAATACAGACCTATAGCATTCTTAAGTATAGAGGCTATCTGACTCAATTTTACTGAAACACCAAGTTATCAGTTTTCCACTATCAACCTCCGATTTTACCTGATATTACTAATCCAGGAGGTCCCAAGGACTGGCAAATATAGCAGAGAAAAGAAGTAAAAGCAAATGTGGGTAAGACTGAACATAATCTACAGCAGCATAGCAGGCAACAAGTATTAAATATTTCTTGTGGGGCTAGACCACCCAAAGTATTTTAGTGAGCTATAAGGTGGGATAGAGAAAGGCACAGCAAGAGCAAAAGCGCTGAGAGGTCTGTTGATTCAGAAAATGCCAGCGCACTTCAGTGGGCTCTCACACACCATGCTGTGCTTCCCTTATTCTGGTCGCTAGCACCGAACACATAAAAGGTTTGAACACTCTGCTGAAAACATTAGATTGCAGGTTTTGGAAAAATCCATTTAACCTAGCATCTCCATGCCAAACAAGCCAGAGTGGAGATCCATAACTATCATGAAGCACGTTTCAGTGTAAGGTGTCAGATCGTCTGAATCCCTTTGGTAAGCTGTTTTTTTGTTTTGTTTTGGTTATTTTGTTTTGTTTTAACTTTTCTTCCTAACCTTTGACACAGATCCCAGGATGCCACATTTGGGGGAAAAAACACTTCTAGTTAAGTTTCCATCTTGGTAATTTGAATGGCTGACGGCAAAAGTAAATTGTGGATTGTTCTTTGACTTTACGAGTTTAGCAATTTATCCAGAGATATCACACTGATTAGAGAAATGCATACCAGCACAGAGGTTAAGAATATGAGTTTTGAAATCGCACTGGTTCAAACCCTGGTTCTGCCACTTAATAGCTAGCCATGTGACCTTGACCACGTACTAGTACTTCTCTATGCCTCAGTTCCTTCATCTGTCAAATGGGGCCAAGATGGATGCTGCCTCTTAAGGATGTTCTCACATGCTAACATAGAGCCTGACTATAAGAACTTGTTAGTAAGTCCAGGCCTCAGCTCCTCTAGGGAAGCTGAACAAGTCACTTGTCCATACTAATCAGTGGGATCTTTATTATATAGAATGATAACAATGTTTCCTCTATATATGTTTATCTTTCTCATATGGCCCAATTGAAATAATGTAAATAAACATGTTTTCAGAAGCATAAGGCAATATAGTAATAATATTTTATATTAACATACTACATTTTTCCTGTAGTCATAAAAGACTGGTTTATTCAACAGAAATCATCAACTATGAGAATTAGAAGGACCCTTAGAAACCATTTTATCCATTCCAATGTAAGGATCCTCTACAGTACCCTTTTCCCTTAATTTTCTCAGCTTGTAAAATTTGGGAAAGAAAACACATTATATAGACCATTTTACACTTAGACAATTCTTTAAGCCAAAACCTGCCTCCTCTAACCTCCAAACTTTTGGTGGTAAACAGAAAAATTCTAATTCCCATTCCACATTTCCACATGACAGTTTCCTAACTATACAGATAGTTGTCATGCTCCACACTTCCCCTATACACTCATCCCCACCAACAGATACATGTTTCACAGTATAAATATTTCCACTTGCTTCTATTATTTTTATAATTTTTTGAGAGATTATCTATTTTTTTCTTCCAGACCTTTCACCATACTTCCTAGGGACACACTCTGATTTGATCAGTTCCCATTCCACGAACATTTACCCAAACCTGTTACTTGCCTGGCCCAGTGCTGGGCTCTGAGGAAAGGAGCTAAGTCAGAAAAGAGAGTGCACGTCCACACAGTCACTGCCATGTATGGGAGGCAGATGTGTCCCTACACAGCTGAACCTCCCACTGGCTCTCCACAGGGCAGAGACAGGAATTCATGATCAACTTTTTCTTAATGTACAAAAGACTTCTATTAGTCTACCCCGAGTGATGAGGCATCCTGAGTAGCCTACTGATGACATGTATTAACTTAAATCAACTACTTCCCATCTCCTTCATAAGAACGGCCAGATATTCACTACATTCTACTTAGCTGTTAATATTAAATGGTTTGCACCTAAGTGCCAGCACAGAGGTTAAGAATATGCAAGGCTTTGCATTTAGCCCTTTTAAATTTTACCCTGTTTAACTCAGTCAACCTTTCTCATGTATAAAGATCAGTGTTTAGCCTGTTATTCTGGTTCTCTTGTCTCTGTGTTATCTGCCCATCAGGTAAGTATATGTTGTTCACTTTCTCCCAATTCCTGGTAAAATTGTTAACAACAAAAATGACTTCCATTTGACTGCCCAAGTTTACCAGAGATACTAGATTTTTAAGGCTTTTCACTCATACATTTGCTCATTCATTCAGTCAACACTATCGAGTGCACCCTTTGAGCAAGGCCCATAGGCGGCAGAGAGAATTATAAAGTGAAAGAGATACTGTCAGTGTGCTTGGGACACTTACCATCTTAGGGAGGTGACAACATGTATATGAATAACTAGAACATGGGGCCTTATGTGAGTGCCCTCGAGCACAGAGGGAGAGCCATTCATTCAGACTGAGAGGATCTAGGGATGCCTGAGGGAAAGGAGAGCAACTGATGGGGCATTGAAAGATAAGGAGGAGTTCAACAGGCAGTGATGCTGAAAAAGCAGATAATAAAAACTTGCAGGAAAGGGGTCTTTTTAAATGATGCCAGAGACTTAATTGTTTTTTATTTGTTTGTTTGTTTCGGAATATTTTTCTCCCCTTTGGGAACTTTGCTGAGAGACAGTCAGTATGTTAAATGACACTCCAAACCTCTCCCTATCCAGAAATAGTTCATTCCACTTTCATCTTTTGATTTGGGAGTTAATTTTTAAAAATGTATTTCTTTCCTATCTTAAAATGAAAGGCAAAACACCCCATGTTTACAAGTCAGGGGCAAACTCTTCTATCCTGCATTTCATAACTCCCCAAACGTCTTAACAACATACACGGTTGCCACTGTCTGAAGGCTGGAGATGCCGCCTCTGGGCTTGGGGACAGCCATACTGAAGCTTTGCAAGGCTTCCTGGGTTTTGTCCCATTCCTCACAGGGTACCCAATTACATTTCATTTTCTGTGTGGCCTTTCCTTCCTTTGAACACTGACTTGAAGGCTGGCTTAGGGTTTTGAATGTGTGCTCTCCTGGTATTGAAGTCCTTCTTCTGGGGAAATGCAGTCCGACTCCTGGCCGGGCTTTTGTTTATAAATGGGCTTTTCACAGCTCTTCCTTCCAATTTGGTCTGTAGTTGAAGCTTGAAATGATTAAAGATGTTTGCATAAGCCAGAGTTGAGGAACTTTTTTTTTCTTCTTTTCTATTGGAGGTCACCAACTCACCATTAACATGATGCCAGCCACACAGAACCAAAAGGCAATGCCATTAAGAGCAACTGGTTTTTAGTGTGAGGGTCTTTTTTTCTTTGTGGAAGGTGAGGAGAGATTTGTGGACAGCGACTGAATCTTATTCTTCTTTGTTTCCTCAGCACTGTGCACAGCACCAAGCATATAGCAGGTGCTTAATATTAATAAATACTGAATAAGACCATAACATGATAGATGGATGGATGGATGGCATAGTTTCCTGATCTCAAGATGGAATTGTCCTAATTAAATCAAATATTAATATTAATTCAAACCTGCGATTCTAGGCTTAAATCATTTCTGAAGTAAATTAGGACACTGACAGGCATATTTGCTTGTATAATAAGTATATGCTTTAGAAGGTAGGCCAAGTTGAAGAATCCCAGTAATCTGGAGAGTACATATGACCTAAATGCCTCTCATCAGCTCACTGGTCTAGTAAGCACATTTTAAAAACCAGAATCTTATCTATATATCTTAGAACGTCAATGGTAAGAAGCCTTCATTTTACAGATAAGAAAAATGAGACTGATAGAAGTAAAGTGACTTGCCCAAGGTCATACAGCTAGTAAGCTACACAGCTTGGACTGACTTTATTGTTGCTTTCCCATGGAAGCTGATCATTCATATTCAAGAGAGAAAAATCATATGCATCAGCTCCAGCCATAAATAGTCCAATGAATTCAATTAACTCCAAGGTTCCTGCCTTGCAATGAAGACCCAGTAAATCTAAGGCATTGGGAGCCAGAGTGAAAATGATAATTGCTCTATATGGGTACAGCTGGATTAGAATAGCCTGTCTTATCTTCCCAAAGGTTGGGGTACTCACTCACTGAATGGCCACCTATGCCCAGCACTCATTGCACTGAAATTATAGGTAGCTTCTGATGGATTTGGAGATAAGAGGGCCTTTGGAATTATCATCTAAATGTCTTTCAAACTTGTAATATCACTACTACTTGGCAACGCAAAGGGCTTGTCCATGTGAAAGCTCACCTTCCAATATGAACTGCTGGAGACTGGAAACACCGTTACAGAGTGTCTGCAAGTCCATGCAAGAAACATACAGCGCATTCATATTGCAGCATTGATTTTTCAGGTTAATTTTTAACCTCTGAGTTGGAGAGAAAGAAAAAAAAACCAAAAGGTTCAGTCTATGAAGTTGTTGCTATCTAAACACTCCCAAAACCCATTACTGAAATTTTGCGTGGCACATAACCCACGTGGCTTATTTCAAGTGGCTGAATGAACAAAGTTTATGAGAGGTACCTGCCTGTCCATAAACTCCCAATAAGTGCAAAGTAGATGGTTCTTTCCACTAATACAACCATGGTGGACCTACCATGACACTATATGAGGCAAGATTATTCAAGCACTACTTGCCAGTATCAGTCTTTTTTTTTTTTTTTTAACAAGCCAGAAAAAGTATTTTTCACATTGTTTCTGGTTAATAGTAACATCTTACACAGTTCCACGGAGGTCTCTCAAGTGTGGGCCCTAAATTATCTCACGTATCCTGGCCTGTTTATTTGAGAGAATTCTCACACAAATCCACTGCATTACCATCTAGTAATGCTGGGGAGAGAGAAGCAATCATAGCTTGTGCCCATCTAGACACATTACACAAGTCATACAAAGAGCAATCATGAAATGGGATTTATTCCGTCTCAGGCACTGACGTTGATGTGGCTCAAACCTAATTTTCTAGAGGACAGCACAATTCTCATTGATTTGGGGAGATGTATTCACATCGTCTTGCTTTGCAGACCAGCTTTCCCAGACGCCATGCAAAAACAGTCTCTAAACACCAGTGAGAAGGGTGAAAGCTCTCTCTTAAAAAAAAAAAAAAGTGCCGAAAGGAACTTACCACCAAAAAGGCCATATTTTGACATGATTAGTAGCACAGCACGGTCCTACCATAAGGTGCTAAATAATCAGATAAGTATAAAAGCATTCAATTATGTGCATGAAATGATTTACCTCTACACTCAACTGGAAAAATTTGGCATTTCATATATATTAAGATGAAATCTCCCAAAGAAACGACTGAATTTATTTTACATGGTATAAGTATATAAGCAATTTCACAACAACTATATAGGAATCTCCTTTCAGACCTATTTGTATCTTGTTTTCTCTTTCCCTATAACATCTCTAAAATGCAATGTAGTTTATTCATGTGGTTGCTAAATATTTATTAAGTGCATAATTCAAAATACTTTCATAAATGAAAAAACATATATGAAAAGATACCTGCCCTTACAGGCTGGTAGGAAGGCAACACACATACAAACACCCACTCTGATATACAATGTCATCTGTCAAAAGTACAGTAGGAACAGGGATGGAGAGAGCTTAGGTCTGGGAAGGCTTCTGAGAGAGTGCCTGCAACTCCCAACTATAGTCATTAAGCATTACTGCAGAGATATGAAGATATGAAAGCATCACAGTATGCATAAAATCACACAGTGAGCAGGGATCTTAGTGATCACCCATCCAAACCCTTTCATCTCAATTGAGAATATGTAGGTCCAGAGAGCCCAAGTCAGCAGTTCAAGGACACACAGATTTTCCGACAGACCTGAGATTAGAACCCATACATTCTACTTTATCCTAGGACTCTCTGCTACACAGCCTGCCAGGGCTTCATTTCCTTTGCCTGCACAAAGGTAACTCAATTCAGCATAGATGACTCAGCAGAGGTGACCATGGAGATTTGCTAAAACTGAGCTTCATCATTTAGGTCCCTTTCAAACATTGGAGAACCTCTCTATGATTCCAGCTGTAATAAAACAACACTAAAAAGTAAGCTGTGTTCATGACATTGCATAATGACACCATTATACAATAGTGACTTACTAGTTAAAAGTTGATGATATATTAGCAGTCTTGCCACAATGAAAATGAGGTAAAAAAAGAGAGACAGAGATAAAGAAAAAGACCTCTAATTTCACGGTACAGTAGATGTTAGAACAAGAAATGAACTTATACCTATGAGGTCAATCTCATCTTGTAGTCAGGAAATATTAATTTGCTGATATGCTTTATGCTGGAGAGTTTAAAAAAATTGGCATAAATGGTGCTACAAAATTTCAATCTCTCTTATAAGGCTGAGCAAGAGCAGTAAAAAGGAAACTGTTTTAGTCACCATATTTTATTACACAAAGGGTTGAATCAGAAAATTGGAATATTAATAAAACATTTTCTACATGGACTTTGCTGATTAAATAAATAGCTTCATGCTTTTACAAAGATGTGATATGTTACAGTCACGTTTAAGGGCAGTGAGTCCTTTTTTGTAATTACTAATAGGGATGGTTTAATTACACCCATAAGTCCCAAGATATTGCTGCAATACACCAGCTGGGGACTGAAGTGCCCACTCTCTACCTGATTCCTAGATTATCTGGAGTCTGATATGCAAATCCCATCAGCTTTGATTCAGATTCTTCTAAGAAGGAGCTTAGGCAATATATTTTCTGCCTCATTCATAAAGAAAAATAATCACAATAGATGTATCGATTTACTTACATTGTTAACTCTCTGGGGCATAGTTACCTACTTCCTAGAGAGGAGAAATTAGCTTGCAAGTATACTGTCATAAACACAGACAGAGCAAGACCAGACAGAATCCAAACATCCCAATGCTCTAATAATTGAAAGATGCATCCCAGGACCCTTCCTCTGAATAAAAGAATGGTCCCATTAAATGATAGAAGCCTGCTATGTGAATTAGATTGAATTCACAGGACAGAAAATCCAGCTCCCCTCACCCCCAACCCCTGCCCAACAAACTGGCTTTCCCAAGAAGAAAACTGGGAGACCCAAGAAGGCTTCAAAGATACAGGTCAGATTATTCAACTGTTATAAACCTGCATTTCCCACTCTGATTTTCCTTTGGGAAATCATTTTCTTATCCCAGTTCTAGTCCATACATTTTGGTGGGGCTGACCTCACCGTCTGGCTGCAGAGGTCCAGTCCCGGCCATTGAGTATGAATTCTACCTCCTCAATCCTGACCATAGTGACTGGTTCAGGAATGAGAATAGGTCCACTGAAAGCCAGCCTTAGGCCATTCTGTGGATCCATTGGGAAAAAGCCCTATCTCCTGCTAGGGTTGCTGAACTAGTAGGATTTGAGCCTGGATCGCTGGTGGCCATCAGTGCCACTGCTTGGGGAGAACCTACTTACTAACAAAGCCAGCACTGAGAAGGCAAAGCTGTGGTGTGGAAACAGTTGATGGAGCTCTTGGCTCTAGCCATAGCTGCAACTAGGCTACACCTGGACTTGTTTATGTGAGCCAGAAAACTCTCTTGCAGACTGAAGCCAGAATAAGCTAGACTTTTGTCATTAACAACCTAAAGAGCCCACATAGAGTCAAAATTCTAAACTCAAGCCTCTAACTTAACATGGTAGCAGGCATGGGAGGCACCCTCTACCAACCTTCCTTCAAAATTAAAAGAAGGTATAGAAAGGAAAAATACAGTATCTTGAGACTGTACTAGGGGTTAAAAGACCAGAAAAAAACAAATTTTTTATGGATATGTCAGTATGGAAAACAAAATCCCAGCCTACGTTCACTCTATTCTTTGAACCAGAATGATATAAGCCCATGCTGTCCAGTATAATAGCCATTACCTACACGGGGCCATTTAAAGTAAAATTAAATAAAATTAAATGTAGAAAATTTTTCAGTTTCTCAGTCTCACTAGCTACATTTCAAATACTCAACAGTCATGTGCTAGTGGCTACTATATTGTACTGTGCAGATATAGAACATTCCCATCATTGTCAAAAGTTCCAGTGGAAAATGATGGCAGTCATTCTGCCCATTCTAGATGGAGGGTGTAGTCACCACACTAACCAGGAAGTCAAACTGCCACAAGAGATTACTGAATGAAGATATTCATCCAAGTGTTAAGATACGCATCAAAGCATTATGTTAAAAAAAAATTAACAATGACTTTAATATACAAAGAGAAGGGTATATTATGATACAGGCATGTAAAAAACTATTAAGGAACTATAAAAAGGACATTTAGAAACTGTTTTTAAAGAGATATGGGAATAATGAGAGTTTTTAATGAAAAATAATGTATTGACAGAATAAACTTCACAAAGTAAAACACGTCTAGCAAAAAATAGAAAAATAATCATAATAGCTAATTTTAAAAACATTTTTATGTGACAATGTGCTAAATGCTTAATGCAATATCTGTTTTATTAATCAAAATAGCAGATAAAATAGATGATATCTTTATTCCCGTTTCACAGATGAGAAAATTAAGACTTGGCAAGATTAAGTGAAGGAAGAAGACTGAAATGGAACCCATGCTGGTCTGACCTCAAACCCTAGCCTCTTTCTCTCTAGAATTAAAAATATGAAAAGCAATTGCCACTGGGTAGAAGTATAAATGACTTTTTTTCTCTTTTATGCTTTTTTTGTGTTTTTCAAATTCAAAAAACAAGGAAGAAGGAATTTCTTGAGAAAAAAATACTGAAAGAAAAATTCATTACACTTGACTGTAGCCACTACATGGTTAACAGGAGACTGCTATATGCAATGGATCCTTGCTTAAAATGGGTTAATTATGAACACTAGAAGTTTTCATATTCTGCTGAAGCTTCTGTTCAAATTTAATTTCTCAAAGTATATTGCTAGACGCTAATGAAAACCCAAAGAGACACACACATTCAAAAGATGTATAGCCAATGAATTTTCTGTTGTTTTTATTGTGAACAACTTTTTTATATCCTAACAGTTTTATACTAGCTATGAAAAAGATAAATAAATATTTATGACATTCACTCAATTCCACAGTAACTACTAAGTTGCTCATGTTCTCGCTCTGGTTTGAAATGTGCATATTTTAGTGGCTGGTATCTCAATCTTAAATGAGAAAGCCACAGAATGCTGTCATTACAGACCCTAAAACTACGCATTTGACTCACTGCAAGGATATGCCCTTGGTAGCAGAACATAACAAGCTGAATTAAGGCAGCTATAGACTTAGACAGATACAAACTTCACTGCTGTCCAGCAAACAGCTAAGAACACCCCAGAATTGCCATGGACACTGGTTTCACGGAAGCTTGTGCCATGTAACAGAAGAGTTTGATAAAGAAAAACAAACAATGGGATTGAGGAAACACACAGAAATAAATGAAGGCCAATTTGCACCATTCGGCTATCCTGCAGAAACTTTTTCCTTTACCGGAAATGGTCCAATGTACCCCTTGGTATATTGACTGAACTTGCACGTGAGGGAGATCTATGTAGTCATACCATACTAATTATAAAGAACAGGCCAGAATTCACCAGTGGTGGTTCATAAGCTAAGAAAAGCCCTTAGGCCAGTTATCTTTAGTCCACAAAATATTTTTTGTTTTACCTAATTTAGTGCCAAATTTTTAAACAGAGGGATTTCACACGAAAACAAGATGTCTAGCTTTTCTTGAAAAAGCCAAAGACCTACATGAGTCCAGTATTCTGTTACTGCAACCATCAGATGAACCTTAACAGCGGTTTACCTGGTCCCCACCCACACTGTTTCACCCACAAACACCTGGCCCTTGTAAGCATCTGAGCTTGTAGTTCTTATAACAGGAGACACCTGAAGGATCATTAAATTATACCGTACCTGATACACACACATCCTTATTTCACCTAAATAAATATATTTCTTCTTAGATTGCTCTTTGACCCCAGGCAATAGGAAAATAAAGTTAATTGCAGAGAAGGCTACACAAAGTAAAGGCTATTTCACATCCATGTGCACAACCAAAATCTCATTGCTAACACTTGGTGACAAGGTTCTCTGTGAAGTTGCTGGGCAAACCTTCCCTGCCTCATTTCCCCTGGTTCCTGCCACCCCGCCACTTTATGATCCATTCATACCAAATTACCTGGGACTCCCCATATGTGATGGCACATGCCTCCAACTTTGTCATGGTCCCCTGATGGAGAACGTTGATTTTGTGTCTTAGTAGACAGACTAGCCCATGAGGGCAGCTATTGTTTCCATCACACCTCACCCTGTAAGCCCAGAGCCCAGCACAGTATTCAGAACATACTTAATGCATGAAAGACTCACCAGAAAATCCCAAGGCACCCTCAAAATACTTAGATACTAACCCTCCCTTACTCTTACTCTGGCAAAATTCATCCCTATATCTTATTTTTTACTTCGACAAATATCTCTTTGGTTGTACTTAGCCACCACATTATTATTTGTTTATTTGTGCTTCCCTGTCTCTTCCTGGGTCTTGTGGGAAAAAGTCTGTGGCTTTTATAGGGTAATGTCCATGGATTCCACAATTCTGCCAGGTACCCTGCAGCAGCTCAATAAATACTGAATAAATGGATGAAGTGCTAGAGCACAAGGCCCTTTCACATAAATCATTACTCCTTGTAATGGCACTGAGGTAGCCATTATCCTCCTCATCACCATCATCTTCATCATTGCATCATCATTGCCACCAGCACCGCAATCTCCATTTGACAGATCTCAGAGACCCAGTGCCCACAGCTTGTATGCAAAGATGCCAGTGTCCAAACACATGCCTTTCTGTCAAATTTAGCTGAAATGCAGCCAACAGGATAGAAAGGATCCGAATCCTGTGGGCTGTGATTTTTCTGTATTTCCACCTACTCCTTCACACCCTCCCAATTTAAAAATAAAATGAAAGAGTTGCTTGTTTAGATCATGTCCAAGACAAAGTCACCATCATATCAGCAAATGGTAATGTAACCAGAAGAATGCATGCAGAATTCAATTCTAGCAGTGACATGCATGATATTTTTACCTACAGAACATATCTCATATCTACTTCCTCTGGAGTTTTCTGTAAGTTATGGATTAATAAACTTTCCCTAAGAATGCAGCTTTATTAATCTTGCAAAATACTCAGAAAAGAAAATATTTTATTATTCCCATCTAAAGTGAATTATGATAAAGTCCCATGTGTGCTCACAAGACATAAAGTTGCTTTCTGTAGCAAATTGTGTTTGTGGTGGTGACTGTTTTCCCCGCGCCAGTAGGATTTGGAGTAAACAAAATGTCAAACTGTCTCCTAACCTGTGAAGACAATAGAGACCACCAAGGTCACAGCAAAACGTGACCTAGTTTTTGAAGGGAGAAAGAGAGAGTTAGCACAGGATGGCGTTAGTTCAAGCCCCTCCTCTTAAAGCTGAAAAAGAAAAAATAAAAACGGAAGCAAAGAGAGAGTTCTGCCATCATTCAACTACTGAATTCTCTTTACTATCCTGAGGCATGTCCTTTACAAAGGGAAGAGCGGTGTGACTTTGTGCAATGCATTTCACTGTCTGAAGATAAAGGCTGAAGGAGAGAAGAATGACCCTGTGTGGCATGTCACTGTGTACCAGGTATAGTTCAATTGTGTTGCATGTGTTACTTCTTTGTGTTTACAAAACAACCCTATAAGAACTTATTTTTCGGCCGAGGCCCAGAGAGTGAAGAGTCTTGCCCATGGTCACAGAGCTAGTTATCAGCCAAGCCTTGATTTGACCATCTGTAAAATGGGGATACGAATGGCCATCCTGTCTATCTGGTAGGACTGTTGTGAAGATGGAAGAGGAAGATATCTGAAGTGTGTGTGTGTGTGTGTGTGTGTGTGTGTGTGTGTGTGTGTTTGTACATATATGAAATACTTGACAAATGTAAGATTACCACTGCTAGAGTGTGGATTTACCTAGATATTCACCCGCTGGCTTCCTTCATTACATCTAAATGTCCAGCATTTAAATGTTTGATGAGACCAAAGAGTCAGACTTTACACAGCAAACATCTTGCACAGCAAACGGGAAATAAATGGTTCTGACTCCACTACTAACTCCTTGGTGACTTTACAATATTGTATGCCCACGTCTCCTCTCTAAGCAAAGTCTGCTCCTCTACAGAATGAGTGGGTTGTTCTGTCAGGCTACAGGGACTGAGAGAGGGAACTGAAGAATGCCAGAGCTGTAATGTTTACACAAGCGCTGCTGAGACCTGCAAGCTAGCACATCGTGTTTCCATTCATTCTCCCTACTTCATGTTGAAATATGGGTTTACAATCCCTTATCCAAATTTCCTGGGATCTAATGTGTTCATAATGCAGACTTTATTTTGGATTTTAGAAAAGGCAGCATATACTACACCACATTTATCTTTTATTTGTAATAGCCCTACCCGGGTTTGAGGTGACACCCCGTAATGTAACTCATGAATGCTTCTGGAACAAATGGGTGACTATTCCTACTCACGGGGATCAATAAAGATTCTCAGTAGCCTCATGTCACTTCAAGTCAGGATAGGTTTTACCACTAAATGAGTTACCCAAAATCTTGAGTTTCAGAGCCTTTTAGATTCTGGAATTGCAGAAAAGGGACTGCATGGTCCCACTGCTGCTGCCCTACTCCCTGGGCACCCAACACTCACACAGCTTGCCTTGCCAATACAGAGTCCACCGCCAGCTGAGTCACTCTCAATTTTCTGCAAGGGCCAGGATGGATGGGATACGGTAGGAGAAATGAGGAGCTAATCCCAAACAGCAAGTGTCTCCCTTCATTGTTTGCCTGTAGCTCACAATATTAACAAACATTTCTGTTGGAGGTTTATTTTCCCGCTCTATGAACAGGTCCTTTTCCTGTTTCTCTCAGATCCACTCCTGGCCCCTTCCCCTGCTCCATGGAGTGTTGCAGAAAGTTGATCTTAACCACATTTCTTAGGCGCCCTTGTCAGCTGATTTCCAGTTAGATTCACTCACTGGGAAACACTGGCAAAAGACAGGAGGGGAGGAGGGGAAGACAGGGTATTTATCTCCCTTTTTCTCTTTCTGCTTCACGGTAGCACCCCTAGACGTGGTGGAGTCTCCTCCATGGTTTCAGAACATCCATGTGTGGTGCCCACTCCCACCATGCAGACTCTTCTATGCTTCCGGCAGCCCAACTCCTGGCCTTTTTCCCCATGTGGCTTGTCCTCCAAAGGTTCCACCTGCCTCCTGGGGGCTGCACCTCCTGGGGTCTATCATACCACAGAGGTAGCAGATAGTGTTACTGATCTAGAGGTAGGTTGGCTTCCTCCTACTGCTAATCTCTGTCTTTCGCTTCTTTGTCACACTTTCAGTTCTTCCAACACCTTTGTAACTGCTTTCCTGTATTAAGTTCTTCCTATTAAGCTGGTATGGATCTCCTGGCTGTCACAGATACAGGGCATGTCATTAAAAGTATGAGATTGTGTCTGAAGTCATGGTAGTGTGGCTGTTATGTTTTGGGTGTGTTCAGGGTTAGCACAGAGAGACACTTTTACACCCCACACATACTGACTGACAGAGTTTCAATCTGTAGGTTAACTTTAAACCAGCATCAGGGGCTGGGCGTGGTGGCTCACGCTTGTAATCCCAGCAATTTGGGAGGCCGAGGTGGGCGGATCATGAGGTCAGGAATTCGAGACCAGCCTGGCCAACACAGTGAAACCCCATCTCTACTAAAAATACAAAAATTAGCTGGCCATGGTGGTGGGTGCCTGTAATCCCAGCTACTCGGGAGGCTGAGGCAGGAGAATCACTTGAACCCAGGAGGTAGAGGTTGCAGTGAGCTGAGATTGTGCCACTACACTCCAGCCTGGGTGACAGAGCTAGACTCCGTCTCCAAAAAGCAAACAAACAAACAAAAACTAGCATCAGATAATCCACCAGGCAAACAATCACACATGTCAAATACTTGCATAACTATGCTGTGGGATTTGACAAGGAATTAGAAAGTCCACCTCTCAACTACTCTCAAAAACTTCCTCCCCCACTGAAAAATGTATGCAAGAGAGGAAGCAAACACATTCTATTAACTGTGTAAAATCGCACTACAAACCTTTAGGCCTTTTTGTTGTTGATTTCGTGCAATTCCTTTGATTTGATAAAACTGGAGGGTAAAAAGGAAAGAAAGGAAGAATGAAAGGACAGGACAGAAAAGGATAAGAAAATAAAGAAAAAGCACAGTTTGGGAATAATAAGAAATTAAAAGCATGTCTCAATGTAGAAAACTCTTCTTTTGTTTTCATTGACTCAAAATAGTTCACTACAGGGGCACTTCCCCCTCTACTGTAAAAAAAGAAAAAAACAAAAACAGTGATGGTAGACTTTAAAAATTAAATGTAGCAAGTGTTTAAACTGACTTTCTTCAAAAAGCCAAGTATAAAGGGCATGAAAGATAGTAGCCTTCAGAAACTCTCAATCTTTAGAGGAACCTAGATCAATAGATGTGGAACAGAACAATTGAAGACATAATGAAGTATGGTGTTTAACAGAATCCGGTGCTCAAGAGGCCTAAGAAAGAGACACATACCTTGGAAAGGCAGGCAGAGGCAGGTGTCAAACTTAGATTGAGCCTATGCTGTATGACCTTTATTTTTTAAAGAAAGCAATGCTAGTCCAGTCCCCAAGTCCCCCTCCTCCCTGCCCCTCTTACTCCTAGCCGTGTTGATTTATGGCTTCTCAAACAAATCAAGACGTCCTTCTCCACTGATACATTCTGAACAGTCAAATATATACAGAATGATATCTAGCCTGACTCACATGAACCCACAGACAGCACACAGAAAATATCAGAGTGGTATCAGGTTAACCAAGTGGTTGTCTTTTCTTTTCCTTAATCTTGTTTTATATGAGACGTCCTTTTTCATATCAACCTAAACTAGTACTGTATATATTTTCATTCCAGAAAACACAACGAAACATGTGAGAGAAGGGGAAAGGAGTTACAGCATTTGCTCAGGGAAGAAGAGGAATTTGAAATTTTATCACCAGTACTGATGTCATAAGGGATGACTGTTGGAGGGAAATGAATATCTGCCCTGGATCCTAAAATAATTTGGGGAGAAAGAGTAAGAGTGAACTTACGGAAAGATTAATGGCACAAGGGATACCAGAGAGACAGAGAGAGAATTGGCAGATAGTAATCACCAAATATCTCTCTCCCATTTTTTTACAGATATATGTTACAATTTCCAGACATAATGGTGCTTCCTCACATAGTCAAAAACCCTGCCAGTATTTGACTATATTATTGACATAGTATATTTGAGGATCTTAAGTCCGTGTGATGAAATGGAAAGAGCACTGGTTTGGGTGCAGAGACCTGGGTCTCTATTCTAGCTCTGCTTAATGACCTGGACTCATCTTTCTATTTCTGTAGGCCTGTGGCTCCTCATTTGAAAGTGGGAATAACATTCACTGACCTAAGATATGCCTGAAAAGTCAAGCTAGAACTGGGCTACCAGCCAAAATTTGCCCATTGGGCAGCCAAATAACTGTGGTCTATCCGAAATGCCAGAGTAGTGTGTCAGCAGCCAGACTCTGGCCCCCAGGCCCCAGCACCTGTTATTCACACTCCACAGGGTGTCTAACCAGAAGAGAACTGTACCCTCCTTTGCAGATCCCTTCTCTCTCCATAGGAAACCCAGAGATGTCTTTCAAAAACCTCGGCCTCTTGAACAAAGTGACTAGCGGCTACCCTGGTCGATCACCCTCTCATTAGCTCCATTCCCTACTCCGCATCCCCACTGGCCCATTGGGACAAAAGATGTCCTTTTAAGCCCTCTGCACTATCAGGCTGCAAAGGAGGGCAGTGACCTGTCGAGGGTGGTGCTAAGTCACCCACAGTCCTTTCCTTAAGGCTTTTCTAGGTATCAAATGAGAGCCTGTGAAGCACCTAGTACAGACATACCTACTTTTATTGTACTTCGCCTTATTGCACTTCACAGTTATTGCATGTTTTTACAAATTGAAGGTTTGTAGCAACCCTGCATCAAACAAGTCTATCACCATCATTTTCCAACAGCAGGTGCTCACTTTGTGTCTCTGTCCTACTTTGGTAATTCTCACAATGCTTCAAGCGTTTTCATTATTATTATACTTATTATGATGATTTGTGATAAGTGAACTTTGATGAAACTACTGTAATTGCTTTCAGGCACTATGAGCCATGCCCACATAAGACAATGAACTTAATAAATAAATGCTGTATGTTTTCTAACTGCTCCACTGACTGGCAGTTCCCCCGTCTACTTTCCCCTTCCTCTGGCCTCCCAATTCACTGAGACACAGCAATATTGAAATAGGCCAATTAATAACCCCACAATGGCTTCTATGTGTTCAAGTGAAAGGAAGAGTCACAAGTCTCTCACTTTAAATCAAAAGCTAGAAATGATTAAGCTTAGTGGGGAAGGCATGTTGAAAGCTGAGAGAGGCTAAAAGCTGGGCCTCTTGTGCCAGACAGCCAAGTCGTGAATGCAAAGGAAAAGATCTCAACCCACTCTGTGCAGCTCACTGCCAGTACTTATTTCTCAGGGCAAACAAGATATAGATTAAAGGACATTAAAAGTGCAGTTCCAGTGAACACATGACTGATAAGGAAGAGAAATATCCTGATAGTGGATATGGAAAGAATTTTAGTGGTGTGGATAGATGAAACAAGACACAGTATTTCCTTAAACCAAATCCTGATTTAGAGCCCTAACTCTATTCAATTCTATGAAGGCTAAGAGAAGTGAGGAAGCTGAAGAGAAAATTTTGAAGTTAGAAGACCTTGGTTCATGAATTATAAGGAAAGAAGCCACCTCCATCACATGAAAGTGCAAGGTGAAGCAGTAAGTGCTGATATAGAAGCTACAACAAGTTATCCTGAAGATCTCACTATGATCATTGATGAAGTTGGTTATACCACATAACAAATTTTCAATGTAGACAAAACAGCCTTATATTGGAAGAAGGTGTTATCTAGGACTTTCACAGCTAGAGAGGAGAGGTCAATGCCTGATTTCAAAGCTTCAAAAGACAGACTGACTCTATCGTTAGGGGTGAATGCAGCTGGCTACTTTACTATTGTGAAAATTCTAGGGCCCTTAAGAATTATACGAAATCTACTCTGCCTGTACTCTAAAAATGGAACAATGAAGCCTGAATAACAGAACATCTGTTTACACCATGGTTTACTGAGTATTTTAAGTCCACTGTTGAGACCTACTGCTCAGAAAAAAAGATTCCTTTCAAAATATTACTGCTCCTTGACAACAGACCTGGTCACCCAAGAGTTCTAATGAAGACATACAAGGAAATTAATGTTGTTTTCACATCTGCTAACAAAACATCTACTCTGCAGCCCATGGATCAAGGAGTAATTCTGACTTTCAAGTCTTATTATTTAGGACATACATTTCATAAGGCTATAGCTGCCATAAATAGTGATTCTTCTGATAGATCTTGGTGAAATAATTTTAAAATATTCTGTAAAGAATTCATCATTCGTGGCCCAGCGCGGTGGCTCATGCCTGTAATCCCAGCACTTTGGGAGGCGGAAGCGGGTGGATCACGAGGTCAGGAGATCGAGACCATCATGGCTAACACAGTGAAACCCCATCTCTACTAAAAATACAAAAAGAAATTAGCCGGGCATGGTGGCAGGTGCCTGTACTCCCAAATACTCGAGAGGCTGAGGCAGGAGAATGGCTTGAACTCGGGAGGTAGAGCTTGCAGTGAGCTGAGATCGCGCCACTGCACTCCAGCCCAGGCGACACAGCAAGACTCTGTCTCAAAAAAAAAAAAAAAAAAAAAAAAATTCATCATTCTAGATGCCATTAAGAACATTTGTGATTCATGAAAGGAAGTCTAAATATCAACATTAATAGGAGTTTGGAAGAAGTTGATTCATGGCTGACTTGGAGGGATTCAAGACTTCAGTGGAAGAAGGAACTGCAGATGTGATACAAATAACAAGAGGACTAGAATTAGAAGTGGAGCCTGAAAATGAAACTGAATTGCTGTAGTCTCATGCTACAACTTTAGCGGATAAGGAGTTACTTCTTATGGATGAGCAAAGAAAGTGGTTTCTTGAGATGGAATCTACTTCTAGTGAAGATGCTGTGAAGATTGTTGAAATGACAGCAAAGGATTTACATAAACTTATTGATAAAGCAGTGTCAGGGTTTGAGAGGACTGACTCCAATTTTGAAAAAAGTTCTGCTGTGGGTAAAATACTGTCAAACAGCATTGCATTCTATAGAGAAATCTTTCATGAAAGGAAGAGTCAATCAATGTGACAAACTTCATTATTGTCTTATTTTAAGAAACTGACCCAGCTACTTCAATCTTCAGTAACCACCACCTTAATCAGTCAGTAGCCACCAACATTGAGGTAAAACCCTCCACCAGCAAAAAGATTATGACTTGCTGAAGGCTCAGCTGATCATTAGCATATGTGAGCAATAAAGTATTTTCAATTAAGGTATGTACATTGATTTTTTTACATAATGCTATTGCACCCTTAACAGACTACAGTATAGTGTAAACATAACTTTTATATACACTGGAAAACCAACAAATTTGTGTGACTCACTTGATTGCAATATTCTCTTTATTGCAGTGGCCTGGAATGGAACCAGCCGTATCTCCCATGGATGCCTGAATTTATTTAATAGTAAGCATTCAAAAACACCCATGATTTTCCTCCTCTCCTGACTATTTGCCATTTAGAATAAGAAATACAGGTAGCATATGATGAAAATTAATATATAGCTAGAAAATATAATTTTAAAGATAACATTTACAATGGCAATTACAAAAATATAAACCACCTAAAACTCAATCTAAAAAGAGTGCATGCCCTTTGAAGAAAATTATAAACTGTATTGAAAGACATTAAATAAGAACTAAATAAATGGAAAGAGTTACTACATTTACAGATAGAAAGACTCAGGCTCAATGTCCTAATGATGGCATTATCTTTTAATCAGTCTATAAGTTTGATAAAACTCAAATCAAATCTCAACAGTATTCTTGTGAAACCTTGAAAGATGATTATAAAATGTATACGGAAGAAAACAGCCCAAGAAAAGCCAAGACACTCTTGAGACACTTTTGCAGAAGGACACTTTTAGGGATGTGTCCTGGCCAATACCAAGATTCATTAAAAAGCTATAATAAAGTTTGGTTAGGGCAAAAGAGTGGCTAAAACATATGCTTAGAAATTGACTCTAAGTTCCAGGAAAATCATTTTTCCATATGAAAGAAAATTAGAATAAATGCCTACCTCACACAACACACACACACACACACACACACACACACACACATATATGCACACACTCCACATGGATTAGAGAACCTAAATTTGAAAGGCAAACAAAACAATAAAGCTTTTAGAAGACAACAAAGGAGAATATCTTCATGACATCAGAGTGGGAAAAAAAAGGCTTTCTGAAACAAGACATAAAAAGTGCTAACCATAAAAGATTGATAAATTCAACTACGTTAAAATTAAGAAGTTAGATAGCAGAAGGTTGGCAAAAATCCAACTTCTATGTGGTCTATAAATCTATTCAGCTTCCCAAAGGCATAAATAACCTTTTTGCATTTATTGGAACTATATTCTGACAACACATGCCATAGCTCAGATTCAGCATATGGTTGGCCCATCTTTGACTTTGTCCACAATTAGATTACTAGCACTACTGGTTTAACCTGAGTATATTTGAATGGATGTGGCTTATACCTAGAACTTTCGTGAGTAGACATATAATACTGCTCAGAATAACATGGCCTGCAATTCAAGACAAGCACCACCACATGCCATCATTATAGGTACTGCTACACCATCACCAGGGACTAGGATTGTACAGCATCTCTTCCTTACCCTCTGTGCAGCGTTTTTCTATGTTTATGATCATTCACACCACAAAGTTCATTCTTGTTCTGCTAACTGCTGGGATTTAACTGCTACTACAAAAACTACCAGGAGAAATATATATCAGTGAAAGCAAGGATAGAAAACCCTAGGGTAGATCAACTTCTAACCCCATGAGAGAAGGTAATCTACTGTCTCCCACACAGCCATGATTTTGTACCAAAAGCTTCCTCCGGTGAGCCTGTGAGTCTTCCATTTCCTTTCTCCTCTCATTCATTCTACCATGCATTCTTCACCAATATTCTGCCATTCACTCTACATGTTGACATATATACCATAATATATGAATATAGTCTGAGACAATAAGAGAAGAAAATGTCACCCACATATGACTTATGTTTAAGGTGATGTAAATTTTTTCAAGATGTCCCTTGCATATATCAAAAGAGATGCTTCTGTTGGCATGATAGTATCTAATAACAACACTCTGTTACTGATGGGAAGTTATTTCTTGGGGACCCCAAGGAATGGAACCTCATAAACTTTCAATGCATTTCATGTCAGGGTACTGAGTAATTACATAGCATTACAATTTTAAAATTTCCTCTTTGGATGAAAGCAGTTTTATTTATAATTTTTCCTATAATGGAAGTAGATAGCTCTAGTGAATCGACTGTTTTAATAGGACAGATTTGGATAAGTAGTTATTGTTAATGATTTTAAGAGATGTCAATAAAACATAGAAATGACTTTCAACAGATAATTATTATAATTCACTCCCAAATCTAGATTACAAAATAAAGAATCACAATAAAAAATGATTTTCAAGTTCACTGATCACAAAGAATTTCAATATTGTCTATGGAAAACAATTTACCCTAATCTTTTTACCCAAATTAACTTAATGAACCACAGCAGACTGAACACATTTAATTCAATTCAATTAAGCAGAAACTTATTGAGCATCTACTACATTCCAGACACCGGAGTTAAAAGGGACAGCTATATTTCCTTTCCCTAAGTAGTTCATAAATGTCCTTTATTCCAGTATAATTATTAGGCAAAATACTATTTCTTTCTTATTACCTATGTAGTGACTAGCTAGACAGTTTATAAATGTCCTTTATTTCAGGAAAATTATTGGACAAAATACCATTTCTTTTTATTATATATACAGTAATGAGCTAGAAAGTGAAGAGAATTCAGTGGAATTGTTTAGGTTTGTTCTGGAAAAATATATTCAAAAGAATTATCAAATTTAGGATAGTGACTATGTCTGCCAAGAGAAGGGGACGTATGATCAGAGAAAGGTTACCAGGAGGTTTCAACTGTATTTAACTGGCTTTATTTCATTAGCTGAGTGGTAGGTACAAAACTTTTTATTATATTGTTATTTATACTTTTTGTGTGTCTTAACCCATTTATGCCAGAGGTTGCAAATTGTTTTTTGTGAAAAATGAGACTTTGGTGATGACCTTGAGCAGTAGGATATAAATAACGCCCACAAGCTTAGCATTCCAATAAAGGAACACTAGGCATAAATGGGTTAAATATTCTGTCCTACATTTCAAATCACACACATATTATTTTCATGATAGAATGAAAACTACTCTTAAAAGGCTTAAGTGATTCTCTACATTTTTCCCAATCTATTTCATAAGACACTGAGAGATGCTACTTGAAATCAAAGGTTCTATGGCAAATGAATTTTTAAAATTCTTCATGAGTTAAATGACTTTAGTGCAGAAAATCTCTGAACCTTTAACATATCAGTAAATACCACATCTTACTAAGAACAGGATATATAATTCAATATCTTCCAAACATTTTTGAACATGGAACTTATTTTTCCCTCTGAGCCTTCTTCCTTTTGAAATATTCATAATGATCTTAGGGGACATTAGTGTTTCCTGGGACACAGTTTGGAAAATGCTCTATTAAAAAAACCCATTTTGATGCATGTTCTACATTACCTCTGTACCCAATTATGCCCATCCCTAAGTCAATAACCATCCTTCATGCTTGCATGACTTTGTCCATGAAGTCCTATCAGTCAGAACTGCCTTTAAGCCTTGAGAAACTCCTGGTCAGCCTTCAAGACCTAGGTGAAATGAAGCCTTCCCCCAGCCTTTCCTTTCTCCAGGTAGAGTAAATTACCACCTCCAGAAGGTTCCACAGCTGTATACATATTTTCCATAGCGCATCTCCTGCTGTAACAGTTATTTATGCATGAAACCAGGTCCCTAGATGGCAAACTGTGCAATTGCATCTTGGTACTCTTCACAATGCCTAGCACAGAGCCAGAGTCAAGCACAAAGTAGGTGCTCAGTAAACATTTGTTGAATGGACATAGAAGTGATGTTTATGTGCATGACCAGAATGTTCTTCCTCAATTTCCCAGATTCTCTCAATGCATATTCACAGCTTTTCAATTATTTTCAGTTGCAACACTAACATGAATAAAAACAAAGAGACATAAAGACTGAATGTGACAAAGGCAGATAGAAACGAGGAAAGACAGAGACAGAGAAAGAGCAAAGAAAGAGATACCTGAATTGATGGATACCAAGTAAACAAATCATGAGTCCATTCAAGAGATGCAGAGACTGACCAACAAAGAAAATTGTAAATCAATATGAAGCTCGGAGCAGATGCATGGGGTTGGTAATTTGCAAGACTCACTACAGGTGGTCAAGAGGGCCGATTTGGGTTCATGCTGAACTACTTACAACTATTTGGGAGGACCCATCCCCTTATTTTTATACCATAAGTTAAACAGCCCGCCTTCACCACCACAAAATTTTCGTCATTTTAGCTGTCATCTCTTCTATTCAGCAGAATTTTATTTATATTTTCCTTTCTGTTTATGAGACTCCCCCACTGGCATTGCAGATTGGTTATATGTCAGCTTCAAATAAAATAAAATAATAATAATAAAAGCAAGCTTGCAATTTCTTTCCAATAGAATATGCTACATATTTCATAAAATAGATGCCAGAGGAGTTTTATGATTCCTCAACCAAAACCTTCCCACATCTCAAAACTAAATGGAAGAAAAATAAAAAGAACATGTCAAAGAAAAAGAAATCTGAACATTTGCTCTCCAATCAGAGGGAAATATCCAGGTGATTAATTTGATTAATGAGTTGTTTTCATTTTTTTACATGAATTTATATCCTGATATGCATTTCACAGATTCAGTTCAGTGTGAGTTTTCATGGATATAAATGTACATACCAGAGGAGGGGTTTTCTTTTCCTACTGACATGCTTTTTTCAGTACAGAATGTCTAGCTGGCTCATGCTCTTAGCCTGACAACACCTCCTCTGCCAAGTTTTATTTATATTTTCAAGCCACGTCTCTATCCTGGTATAGGAGACAATCTGGTCTAGTGAAAGGAGCACTGGACAAGGAGTCCAAGAATCCTGAGTTGCGATGGCGCCTCTGGGCTGTAAAGTTACGTATCTCTGCAAGCCTAATATTCTTTCAATCTGTAAATTAGGACAGTTGACAAACACACCTCTAGAATTCAATCAAAGTCATTTTACTTTCCTCAGAATAACTGCGGAAAAGTAAAATGGCATGGAAATTTTAACATGATGTGTACTTCCACAACTCCTCTTCACAAAGAGCCAAAATGTGTAAGGAAATATTTCCAATTAAAAAAAAAAAAAAAAAACCTTTGCCTAAAATCCTAAAATGTATCTCTTCCTAAAGATAGACCAGATACTATTGGGATACATAACTCTCAGAATATCAATGATGGAAAACTTTTTCATTATCTAGGAGATGGGTTTTTATCTCATTTGAAAGATAACACTAATAGCTAAGTAACTTTACATGCTAGGTATTATTCTAAGCACTTTGTGTTAGTTCCTGTAATCTTCATAATTTTATGAGGTAAGTACTGTTATTTCATTATAAAGAAAACTATAAAGCACAGAGAAGTTAGATTAGCTGGCCAAGGCCACACAGCTTACAGAGCTGGTAGAGCTGAGATCTGAAGCCAGGCAGTCAGTCCAGAAACGAAGTCCAGACTCCTTACCACCTGCTATACCACCTTTTAGTTTGAGAATCTCTGCTTACCACAGCTAGTAACTGAGAAAAGCAGTAATGCTGTTTCTGCGTTACTAATTGCCTAAACAATTATTTACTAATTGATTACTAATTGTTACCTAATTAATAAACATTTTCACAGAGTAAATAGATGTGAACCAATACTAACCAATGCCTGATAGAAACTGCCACAGAGTCACAAGTGTTCAAAGTGCCTATCATTGCCCCACTCCCTGTTGATGATAAGGTAACACCCATTTTGTTTGCTAGCATCCAAAAATGGGGAAATATGTAGCTTGCTCCTATAGAAGTCTTACTATTTCATTATTCTCCATTAAATTTTACACCCTGGGAGCTAGCTGGGATCACTTCCTCACTCAGAGGCAGCATAACAGTGGTTAGGACAGACCCTGGAACAAGAATGGCTAGGTTTAAATCCTAGTTCCATCCCTTACTTGCTATGTAATCTCAGGCCAGTTACCAAATCTTCCTGTGCCCCAGTTTCCTTATCTAGCTAATACAAATGAGAATACAAGTATCCACATCCTAGGGTTATCTGAAGATTAAATAAGTTAATATGTGTAAAGTGCTTAGAAGCATTCCTGACTCTTAGTAGTACTCCATAAAGGTTAATTATTCTTTTTTATTAACATGAAAGGTGACTTGCCAAACATCACAAAGTCAGAAGTAGCTGGATTCAATCCTGGTCTTCCAATTCCAAATGCCATCCACTTTCTTGAACAGAATTCCATGCTGTCTATTACTAAGAGATCATTCTCTTGAAATCCTGCTATGTGCCAAAGCACCCAATCATATGATTTTCTCCATAAAATTGCTCCAAGACCCACAAGGTAGGTAATATTGTCCGTTTTGCAGATGATGAAAGCAAGGTTCTGGGAAGTTGAGATTCATCCTCAACTGCTTAACTCAACCACGAGTATTCTTTGTCTCAGTAAGTCCTAAATAACATTTAAAGTTCCGGACAATACCCTTCAATTTATGCTATTTTTAAAGTGCCATCTAAGAGACATAAACTGTGATTTTCTTGCTTTGTTTGCTTTATTAGTTTGAGAGAAGGATTAAATCCCAGCAAAAACAAAATGTTTGACTTGAGTGAATTATCAAAATGAAATGCTGCCTCCATTAGATTCTTCATCTGCCTGCAGGGTGGCTCCAAGCATCCTAAATCTACCAAATGCAATTTTTTAGATGGGTACTATCAGGTACCAAGCCAAACACTCACCCATTTAAGAAAAATTACTTTGGAGGGCAAAGGGGAATGAAGAAGAATATTCCTCTCTGGGTTGGGAGGAGAAAATGAACAATAAGTGATACAATCTCTTCCCGGCAGCCTCACACAATGGTGTGTCTTGCAAATGAAACATACTGTGAAACAGCTTGTGAGATGAGCTTCATCAACAATAAGTAATTTTTATTCAGATTTTATCGTTGAATACAATGAACATGATTAAATGTTTCAGATATGCCTATTCAGACCTCAAGCAAACCATTAAAAAATAAAAACTACTAAAAATCATCTTCTAAATCTGCTTTAGGAAGAGATTTAATTGCCAACTCGATGTGTAGAATTGAATTCCTACTTGATAGCAGCACCGTTCCCAAGAAGATGGTCACAACATATTTGCACTTCCCACTTCGGCCTCTTTTCTCATCCCTGCGGATCCTCCCAGCGTTGCCAAATAGTTACAAAGTCAGTCCTTTCAAACCACTGCATTTTGAACTTCCTAAACCTTTAAGAGAGCCTTTGTGTATGGAAAAGAACAATAGCGCTTCAAAAGACATTTCTGCGAGTTCTTCAATATTCCATTTGAATGCTGGGGTTTCAATCAAGGACATCAGCAGACAATTTCTGATTGCTTAGAAGTTGACTTTTATACAGCTTTGATTAGGTGCCCTTCTCAATAGGAAATCAAGAAAATCTTTGATCACTTTCAGTTCCCAGAATTGTCACCAAGCCTTGTCAGGATAGGGAGTGAAAGAGATGGGGGGTGGCGGGGGGGGGGGTGGCGGGGGGGGGTGCCTACTCCTTCTGACATCTCCGAACCCCCATCTATCTTAGTGCCTGCGCAGTTCCGGTGCCATCCAGAATCACTCATCACGGAGATCACAAAAACAATGGGTGCTAATTCAAGGGGTGGGGATGGTTTGTAATTTTATGGATTTCCCAAAGACCTATAATTGGCACATAAATGTACCAACGTGAACTGGATAATTAGGCGGTTCTGAACGTAAGCCACCTTTAATTTAATTGATATGATTACTTGAAAACGTTAAGTGTTGTAAAGTGTAGTGGAACCCCCACACAGCCTTTATTCAAAACTATCAACACTGTTAAAGTGTATTTAACCGGCCAGCAGGAAGGGAGCAGGAAGGAGGAAGAAACGACGGCGCGGATTCTCGCCCCGGTCCCCGCCGGCTGGCTAGGAGCTGCACTGGAGCATCCAGCTCGCAGGAGGGCTCGCCCCCGGGCTCGCCCCCGTCCAGCTCCCAGGCGGAGAAAGGCGCTCTCGCTACCGCAAGCCCTACATCGCCCCTCTTTCTAATGGAGCTAAACACAGGCGTGCGCCGACATCCAAACGCACACGCAGACACCGACCCACGCGGGCGCGCACCCCAGACTCGGCGACACATACACACCGGAGCGCACAGATGCCCGCGTCGCGGCGCTCTCCACTCCGCCCGCCGCCAAGAGCGGAGCGGTAGCCAAGCGCCCCCGGCCTCCCCACCCCCACGCCATTCCTTCAGACTCTCCCAGCCTAAGCGGAAGTGCCCCAGCAGACCCCCAACAATGAGGATTTGTGCGATGCAGTTGGGGGTTGGGGGTAGTTCACACGGAGTGAAACGTACACAGTCTGGCGGGTCTGGGAGCAGCCAAGTGGCGTCCGCCTCTCCAGGCAGCGATCCCTTGTGCCCACTGCCCCCCATCAGGCCCACCAGCACCACCAAAAAACAAAAACAGAGAAAAGAAAAAGCGCCTTAAAAAGTGCAGAGAAAAGATGCGCCCTCCCACCAGGGGTCACAATAATACTCCTCGGGACGCAGCCAGCGGAGGCAGGGTCCTGGCTGCAGCAGCCACCCTGGTTTTGAAATTTACTTTGTACACTCACCCAGTGGCCCCTTTCAGACGCCGCGACACGACCTCCCCCCATCTCGGACTCCCTGCCTCTGGGTTCTCTCGGCGGTTGACACCCTCTTGTGTGCCTGCTTTATGAGCCGAACCACAGAGATTTAAAGTTTCCTTGGTAGAAAAAAAAACTGAGCTCTCTGCATCCAAGTCAGAGCGTCGAGTCTGGAGCAGAGAGAAGGAAGAGGGGCGGGCTGGGGAGGCGACTAGCTGGGCGTGGGGGGAGGGGGTGCTGGGGAGTGGATGGAGGGGGACGAGCGGCAGAGAACAGAGTCCACAGAGGATCCGAAGAAAGGCCGGGGTCCGAGGAACGCGGGATCCAGTTCTCACGGTGCCCGCGAAAGGGCTGGGATTACTGGGATAGAGTCGGTTTTTCGAGAGGTCGAAGCCGAATCTCAGCGCTACGGAGGAGTAGGGAAGTGAGAACGGGGTTCGGCCGAATGAGGAAAAGGGTCTGGCCACCAGCGAGGGAGGGAGGGAGTTTCGGGAGCCCAGGACAGCGGGAGAAGGCAGGCTCGAGGTCCGATATAGCCAGGACCGCAGGAGGAAAGAGGGCGCAGGGGGTCTTGGAGAGAGACGCGTGTCAGGGGTGGACAAGTCTGGAGACAGGATCGCGCGTGGTCGGAAGTAGGGAGACAGGGGCGCGGGGATGGGGGGCAGGACAGAGAAAGAGAAGTCGCCCTTTTCCTCCCAGCAAGTGGAGGGAGAAGGCGAAAAACTGCTGCAGTCGCCATCCTCCCAGCACCCCTAGCCAAACTGCTGAGTGGCGCGTCCCAGGAGCCCTCCTCCGCGCCCCGGGGCTCCAGCGAAGCCTCCTGGCTCCCCGGCGCCCTGTCCTCGCGGGGCACCTGCGGCGCTGAACTCAAGGGTTGCCGCGCGCCCCCGCCGCGCCTCACCTCGCCTAGCCCAGAGCATCCTCCTCCGCTGCCGCAGCCGCCCAGGAAGCGGCTCCCCATGCCCGGCGGGCGGCGGCACTCAGGCGCGCTCTGCAGCCCGGGGAAGCCCGGGCGAGCGCCGAGCTGGGTCCATCCTCCCCGGGAGCCACCGGCCCCGCGTCAGAGTAGGGGGAGGAGACCGCCACCCGCGCGGACCCGCCTCCTCCCGCGGCCCCCCGCCCCGCCGCCCCCCGCGCCCGCCCGGCGCCCCGCGGCACCGCTCACCTGCTAGCTCCCCGGCCGCCGCCGCCGGGCCGTGAGCCCCTCGCCCCGGCCTCGCGGCTCCCTCCGGGGCGCTCTCTGCGCAGCCGGAGCGCGCTCCGAGAGCTTAGCCGAGTGGCGGTGGCGACGAGGAGGTGGAAGAACGAGCGAGCGAGCGAGCGAGCGAGCGGGGGCGCCGCGGCTTGCAGTCGCGCCTCTGGAGCCCCTGCACTCTCTCTCCATCCCAGCGTGGAAGGGGGAGAGACGAGCCGAGAGCGAGGGGTCCCCGCCCCAGCCGCGCCAGCGTGGAGAGGGTAAGGGAGGGGGGTTGTCACAAAGTATCCAGTGTTTTCTCCCCCATCACCACCACTGGACGCAGCTCCGCCTGGCCTCTCTCATTTTTCTCTAAGATCTACCCTTTTATCCAAGCCTCGAAAACATATGCATACCCAAATATATGGAGTGCCAGGAAGGGCGAAACCACGAGGGGAGTCTCCGCGAGGGCATGTTGCCCCCACGCCCCTTGGCAGGAGGGGGCGCTCGCTCCCAGCCGCCAGTGCAGGTTCGGCGGCTCCTGTTTTGACTGAGGTTTCCCAGGCAAAGTTCGGCAAGTTGGGAGGGAGAAGGCTGGCACGTGTCAAGTTTCCGTCAGTCCTCAGGAGAGACCCGTGCCCCTGAGAGCACGCAGACCACGGTTAACTCCGGCTTACTCCCCGCGACTCCCCTACTCGGCTCTTAGAATGACTGGGAGTAAACAATCCTCCGATTCGAAGCTGTGCGGGAGGCGGCTCCAGCGAGTACACAGTCAGTTGCTCCTTGCTTAGGGTCCTAGCTCACAAAGATCCTAGAAACACCAAGTCGCAGAAAATATTGGGTCATTCTGAAAATTCTTCCACCTTGAGACTAGATTCAACTCCAGAAAATTCCTGTTGTGTGGCATACCTGTCTCCAGAGGCCTGAAATGCAGGAGAAGAGAGGAGCCTGGTGAATCAAATCAAGTGCATAATATGTAGATTCGCACAGCACACAAACCACCCTGTTGGACCCAGGTGCAGAAAAGGAAAGCAAGAGGCAGGCAACCCTTCCTTAAAAAGTTTACCGTTACTCTTTTTGGGGCTACACTCCTGTCTTCCAGCTGTATAATAACAAAGATAATGTGATGGATTTGTGCTTTTCTGTTTTGGGGTGTTTTTTTTTCTCGTAGCTTCTGACACTCACCCATGAAAATTTAATGAAGCATTTAGGGTTGTTACCTCCAGAGTCAATGGGCTAAAAATATTTAGCCTAATGCACTCCTTGTGGAGCCAGTAGGTCCAGGGCTGGTACATACAAAGTCATCAAGAGACCCTCCCTTTCTCCACAAAATTCACGACCCATTAAACTTATTCCATAATAACAGCTTCCGTACAAATGGAGACCTGAGCAAACGGAGGCTGTCATGCATCACCTGAAAAGATAGCAATTTACATAGAGACAAGAACAATTTGTAAGGTCATAGCAGGATGCAATCTTGCAAGAAGAGTTGATCAGATGAAATTTCCAAAAAGGTGGGAGGGAGGTCCTATCCCTGATACTACTCGGTTTCTACCTACTTCCAGGTGTGACAGATAATCTACGAGTGGGGAGCAGAGAAACTAGCCTAAGTCTCTACAAGTTTTCCAAAGTTCTAGAAAGTGGGGACAATTGACACCAGATATGCTTCTACACTGTGTAGGAAGTTCAGGCTTACCAGGCAACTCAATTAAGATTAACTTCAGTTTCTTCATCTATGAAGACACATCTCAAGAGTCTAAACTCAATACTGAGGAAAGAGGGACAAATCTGAGAAGACATGGTCGAAACAGGGGAAGGGAGGGTAAAAAACTGTTATGATGGAGGCACAGGTCTAAATTCTCATTGACTGCCAAAAACATTGAAGTTTCTCAATGCTTTGAGGATAGGCTTAGAACATGAAGACCATCTACATGCATCTTAAGGCCCTACTTATAAAACCTGCCGCCTTCACCCACCTTTCACTTCGTTCGGCTTTCTATTGACATTATGATTACAGACTTTGAAGAGAATTAATGACACTGACTTGGCCAAGTAATGGAAATACAAGACTCTATCTCTGCTCTGTGTTGAATCAAGTCCACCACGGAAACTGGGCAAATTTCCCTGAAATTCAACAGGGGTAACAAGCAAAGCTTTTCTCAAATCCGGGCATAACATGTAGATACCCACCAATGATCTTTCAAGTTAAACTAAACCAAATCTTAAAGGAACATTTTAAGTTGTTGTACTAAACATGTCATGAAATAAGTCACCTAATAATTAGGGGTTTTTTTCTTTTGTTCCTTTTAAAATAACAATGTCATTTGTATTAAGTGTGGCATAAGAAAAAAATCTCAGTGAACGTTTCTTTATCATCTACCCCGAGAAACAGTAAAATAAGAACAGCAAAGATGTATATATTGTTTATTATGTTTCAGACACAGTTCTGATGCTTTCCATATATTAACTCATTTGACCTTCACAGCAGCCCATTGGGGAAGGCACTCTTATTGTACTGGATAGAGTATAGAGTTTGGAATTTAATGAGCTTCATTCATCTTTAACAAGTTACTTCTGTCTACGTCAAAATTCTCAACCCTACAATGGTGGTGGATAACACTTGCTTCTTGAGATCGCAGTGAGCCTTAAATGAGATAATATATATATATATATTTTTTTGAGACAGCGTCTGGCTCTGTCGCCCAGGCTGGAGTGCAGTGGCGCGATCTCGGCTCACTGCAAGCTCCGCCTCCTGGGTTCACGCCATTCTCCTGCCTCAGCCTCTCAAGTAGCTGGGACTACAGGAGCCCGCCACCGCTCCCGGCTAATTTTTTGTATTTTTAGTAGAGACGGGGTTTCACTGTGTTAGCCAGGATGGTCTCGATCTCCTGACCTCATGATCCACCCGCCTCGGCCTCCCAAAGTGCTGGGATTACAGGCGTGAGCCACCACGCCCGGCCTAATATATTGGACATGCCTGGCACTGAATAAATCAGTCACCTGGTAAACATTGATTCTCTTCCCAGAATAATTCTAAAATAGTTCATTTAAATTTGACAGGCATTTATGGAGTCCATTCTGTATATCAGGCACTGTGGTAGGCATTGGGAATAATGGTGATAAATCAGAAACATATTCTACCTTTGAGGATCTTGGAGTCAACCTAATAAAAGACACAGGCATGAGCAGCCTGCACATGAGCAAAATGGAGTTTTATTGAACTTTACATAATTTATAACTATGCACATGATTTTCAAGATACTCAAAGGAGCAGCCTATGTAAGTGCTGGTTGACCTATCATGGAAATCAAAATCAAATGTCAGAAATCGTAAGTCCTACTAGCTATTACTACTCCTCCAAAGAAAGGGAAGCAAAGAAGCCCATTTTGTGTATTATATTTTATTTAATTCTGTTTATTCCTACAATTGTTTCAATTAGCCAGAGAGTAATAAAATTTTATGCTGTAAACTATGGGCATTTTACTTTTTCTGTAGCTTTATTGAAGTATAATTGACAAATAATGCCTCAATATTGTATATATTTAAGATGTACAAGATGATGTTTTGATATACATATACATTGTAAAATAATTAGAACAATTAAGCTAATTAGCATATCCATACCTTCACATAGTTACTAATTTTGTGCATGTGATAAGAACAGTTAAGATCTACGCTCTTAGGGCAGGGCATGGTGGCTCACACCTGTAATCTCAGCACTTTGGGAGGCCGGGACAGGTGGAACACCTGAGGTCAGGAGTTTGAGACCAGCCTGACCAACATGGTGAAACCCCGTCTCTACTAAAAATGCAAAACTTAGCCGGGCGTGGTGGCTCATGCCTGTAATCCCAGCTACTCAGGAGGCTAAGGCAGGAGAATCACCTGAACCCAGGAGGCGGAGGGTGCAGTGAGCTGAGATCGCACCATTGTACTCCAGCCTGGGCAACAAGAGTGAAACTCCATCTCAGAAAAAAAAAAGATCTACTCTCTTAGAAAATTTCAAGTACATAGTGCATAATTATTAACAATAGTCACCATGCTATACATTAGATCTCCAGAACTTATTTATCATATAACTGAAGGTTTTTACCCTTTAACCAAAATCCCCCCATTTTCCCCACTGTCTAGCCCTGGACAAACATGATTCTATTCTCAGGTTTTGATGAGTTTGATTGATTTAGATTCCACATACAAATGAGAACATGCAGTATTTGTCTTTTTATGTCTGGCTTATTTCACTTAACAAAATGTCCCCTAGGTTCATTCATGATGTCGCCAATGGTAGGATTTCCTTCTATTTTAAGACTGAATAATATTCCATTGTAGACATATATACCACATTTTCTTTATCCATGCATCTGTTGACAGTCATTAGGGCGGTTCCGTATCTTGGCTATTGTGAACAATTCTGGAATGAACATGGTAGTGCAGATATCTCCTTGAGATACTAATTTTAATTCCTTCAGATATATACCCAGAAGTGGGATTGCTGGAACATATGGTAGTTCTATTTTTAGTTTTTGAAGAACTTTCATATTCTGTTCCATAATGGCTATACCAATTTACAGTCCCACCAACAGCGTACAAAGGTTCCCTTATCTCTTCATTTGCACCAACACTTCTTACATTTGTCTTTTACAAAAAAAAAAAAAAAAAAACAGCAACCAAAAAAACTGTTTGTTTGTTTTGATTTTTTTTGTTGTTGTTGTTGTTTGCTTTTTTTTTTTTGAGACAGGGTCTCACTCTGTCACCCATTCTGGAGTGTAGTGGTACCATCATTGCTTAGTTCAGCCTCAAAGTCCTGGATTCAAGGGACTCTTCTGCTTCAGCCTCCCAAGTATCTTGGGACTACAGGCAAGTGCCACCATGCCAGGCTAATTTTCAAGAATTTTTGTAAGGACAAGGTCTCCCTATGTTTTTCACGCTGATTTTCAACTTTTGGCTTCATGCGATCCTCCTGCCTCACCTTCCAAAGTGCTAGGAGTGTGAGGTGATCTCTCGTTATGGTTTTCATTGCATTTCCTTGATGATTCGTGATATTAAGCAACTTTTTACATGCCTGCTGGCCATTTATATGCCTTCTTTAACAAAAAAAAGTCCATTCAGGTCCTTTGCCCGTTTTAAAAATAAGGTTGTTTGTTGTCTACTATTGAGTTGTAATGAATTCCTTACATATTTTGAGTATTAACCCCTTATCAGATACATGGCTTGCAAATATTTTCTCCCATTCTGTAGGTTGCCTTTTCATTTTTTTGATGGTTTCCTTTGCTATGAAAAAGTTTTGAGTTTGATGTAGCCCCACCTGTCTACTTTCACTTTTGTTGCCTATGCTTTTGGTGCCATATCCAAAAAATCATTGTGAAGACCAATGCCAAGGAGCTTTTCCTCTGTGTTTTCTTTTAGGATTTTTATTATTGCAAGTCTTCCATCTGTCGTTAATCCATTTTGAGTTGATTTTCATATATGGCATAATATAAGGATTCAATTTCATTCTTTTGCTTGTGGACATGCAGTTTTCCCAACACCATTTATTGAAAAGACTATCCTTTCCCCTTTATGTATGCTTGGTGACTTTACCAAAGATTAGTTGATGGTATATGGGTGAATTTATTCCTAGGCCCTCTATTCTGTTTCATTGGTCTATGTGTCAGTTTTCATTCCAGTATCATACTATTTTGATTACTATTGCTTTATAATATACTTTGAAATCAGGTAGTATGATGCCTCTGGGTTGTAATTATCTTATAAGACTGCTTTATATATTCAAAGTCTTTTGTGGTTCCATATACATTCTAGGATTTTTTTTCTATTTCTGTGAAAAACGTAATTAGCATTTTATAGGGATTATATTGAATCTATCAATTGCTTTGGATAGTATGGATACTTTAGCAACATTAATTATTCTACTCCATGAGCATGGGATCGCTTTCTATTCATTTGTATCTTCTTTAATTTCTTTCATCAACATTTCAGTTTTCAACGTGCAGATCTTTCACATCGATAGTTAAATTTACTCCTAAATATGTTACCCTTTGTGATGATATTGTAAGTGGAATGAAGTTTTTCAAACACAAATTATTACACAGCCCACAATTCATTAAATAGTTTGTAGTACTTGCACATGCCAGGCATTTAGGAATGTTTCTATGTACATAAAGCTCTCAAGTTAATACAATTTTTTTTTTTTTTTTGAGACGGAGTCTTGCTCTGTCGCCCAGGCTGGAGTGCAGTGGCGCCATCTCGGCTCACTGCAAGCTCCGCCTCCCGGGTTCACGCCATTCTCCTGCCTCAGCCTCCCGAGTAGGTGGGACCACAGGCGCCCGCCACCATGCCTGGCTAATTTTTTTTGTATTTTTAGCAGAGACGGGGTTTCACCGTGTTAGCCAGGATGGTCTCGATCTCCTGACCTCGTGATCCGCCCGCCTAGGCCTCCCAAAGTGCTGGGTACAGTTAATACAATTTTTAATAAAGTACAATAGGAACACTCCTACCAAGCTTAATAGAGATGTAATATGCTCAAAGTATACGAACACAGAATGTGCACAATTTCAAAGGTTTATAATCCTCTCACTCTCCCTTTTATTAAAGTTCATGCTTATAATCAAATTCTATATTTTAATAAGAAAGGTCTATCCTTTATTTTAAAAATATGTTTACTGATTGTTTACTCTATACCAGGCACAATGTTAGGCATTGGCAGAGAAAGAAAAAAAAAAAAAACTTGTCCTGAAACAACTCATAGCCAAGTGAAGGAAACGCATAATCATGTTACACTGAGATGAACGCTATGACAATGCCAAGTACAGGACGCTAAGGGAGCATCAAATGGGGCATTTAACCCAAGGTAGCATGTGAAGAGGACTTCATGAAGGAAGTGACATCATCCTGAAAGATAATTGGATAACCAGGTGAAGCAAGAAAAAGTATTTCAGGCCAAAAACAAAAAAAAAAAAAAGAAAAACAAAAAAAAAGAAGACAGAATGTAAAAAGGCAAAAAAGAGATTCCCCTCTGAGGGTGGCTGTAGTTGACTCTAGAGAAGCATGCATGAACAAATTACAAAATGTCTTATCTGCCACAATCAGAATTTTGAAATTTAGAGTGAAAACAAAAGGATCCACTTAAAAACACACACACACACAACAGAAAACAAATATTTTGCAAATCTTGTTTTAACTACATTTCAGATACTTCTCTTGTATGCCTTGGACATAAGTAAAATGTCCAATTGCTGTTTCTCTTCTGAGGTCAAAAAAAGCAATGAAAAAATATTTCTATGCAGCTTCATCACAACAGAACATCTCTTCTTTCATGATACCGGCCTTGCTTGATTCCAGCGAAAGGTTGTGTGGCAGCATTACTAAACTTGACTCTGGTTTACAATAGCTATAAATAGCACTCCTTTCATTTTTCCAAGGAGCGGGTAGCGGACAGCAGCAACACTGGCAATTGTATTTATGCCACCAATCTGCTCTCTTTAGCTAAATGCACAGTAGAAACAAAAGTGGAGAGCTAAAGTGATTGTCAAAGGACTCTTACGTTTCAATACAAACCTCCAATTTTTTTCACTCATAAAGTGGAGCTTAAGGTGATATTAGTGCCTGAAAATAGGAGTAGACTAAAAGCTATAAAAAATGGCTGGGCCGGGCACAGTGGCTCATGCCTATAATCCCAGCACTTTGGGAGGCCGAGGCCGGCAGATCACGAGGTCAGGAGTTCAAGAGCAGCCTGACCAATATGGTGAAACCCCGTCTCTACTAAAAATACAAAAATTAGCTGAGTGTGATGGTGTGTGCCTGTAATCCCAGCTACTCAGGATGCTGAGGCAGGAGAATTGCTTTAACCCAGGAGGCGGAGGTTGCAGTGAGCTGAGATTACACCACCGCACTCCATCCTGGGCAACAAAGCAAGACTCTGAAAAAAAAAAAAAAAGAATGAATTTCCAATGCTTACAGAGTATCGAAAAAGAGAAGAATCAGCATAGCATATGATATAGCTGCCACATATTTTGTAGCCTCTATGTTAAAGGTTAAAAGCATGACAGATATGTGTTGTCTGCCTCTCTGGGGCCATTCCTCCTTCTTCTAAAACAACAGCTAGATTTCATTGGGAAACCAGTCCTCTACCTGGTAATTTTTTTTTTTCTATTTAATTTTGGTAGACCTAAACCAGCTCCAGAGTTGGACAGGTGACTCAGTGCAACACACTTCTTAACTAGAATTTAGAGATGGTTAGATGGGTAAACTGTGTATCAAAAGATGGACCAACTGGAAAAAAAATGCTTTCCCTTTGTTACTAGACTAGAAATTGGAAAGTTGTTAAGCCTACAGCTACAGAAACCCATTCCATGAAAAAAGTTTTTTGAAAATTAAGGTAACAAGAAGAGGACTAAGAGGTGGGGAAATTGAGATTTATGAGGACA